>NC_000020.11:7490577-7642092 GCF_000001405.40 Homo sapiens
CTTTGGGACTTGACTGTATCCTTTTTTTTTTTTTTTTAAACTTGAAATTGCTGGTAACAAAAAAGGGAGCAAGTATTTACCTTTTATTTTAGGCCAGATCAATTCTATTCTCTGCCAATTTTCTTCCTCATCTCCCATAAAGTATAAAGGGACTGTCCTTATTACTATTACTGGTAATAGCTATTTGCTTGTAATAGCATAATAATCCAAAATTCTTTATTGTAATAAACTAGTGAGCAGTTAAGACAATTGAGTACTCTTTTTATAAATGTGAAAACCAAAAGTCAGAGAGATTTCCTGACATCTTCAAGGTTGCTTCATCAGTTTGCAGTTGGTCTGATTTAGAACACACGACTGTCTACTTATCTAAATGCTCATTCCACTCAACCAATAGTTCTCAATGTGTGGTACCCAGATCAGTAGCATCAGCATCTCCTGGAAGCTTGCTGTGTGCCAACCTATGTGATATGGTTAGGCTTTGTGCCCCCACCCAAATCTCATCTTTAATTGCAATCCCCATAATCCCCACATGTCAAGGGAAAGACCAGGTGGAGCTAATTGAATCATGGGGGCGGTTTCCCCCATGCTGTTCTTGTAATAGGAAGTTCCCACAAGGTCTGATGATTATAGAAGGAGCTCTTCCCTCATCATTCTGCACTTCTCCTTCCTGCCGCCTTGTGAAGAAGGTGCCTTGATTCCCCTTCGCCTTCCACCATGACTGTAAGTTTCCCGAGGCCTTCCCAGCCATGCTGAATGGTGAGTCAATTAAACCTCTTCTTTCTTTTATAAATTACCTGGTCTCAGGCAGTTTTTTTTTTTTTTTTTGACAGAGTCTTGCTCTGTTGCCCAGGTTGGACAGTGCAGTGGTGTGATCTCGGCTCACTTCAACCTCTGCCTCCTGGGTTCAAGCGATTCTCCTGCCTCAGCCTCCAGATTAGCTGGGATTACAGATGCGTGCCACCACACCTAGCTAAATTTTTGTTATTTTTAGTACAAATACAACATGTACAAGTACAACATGGAGAGATGGGGTTCCACCATGTTGGCCAGGCTGGTCTTGAACTCCTGATCTCAGGTGATCCACCTGCCTGGACCTCCCAAAGGGATGGGATTACAGGCGTGAGCCACCATGCCTGGCTAGACAGTTCTTTACAGCAGTGCGAAAACAGACTAATACACTAGGTTAGACAGAGTAAGAGCCTGGCAAAGACATCCGCATCTTAATTCCCTGAACCTGCAAATAGTTACTTTGCATGGCAAAGGGACTTCGCAGGTATGTTAAGAATTTTGAGATGGAAAGATTATCCTGGGTTATTTGGATTGACCCAGTGTAATTGCAAGGGTCCTAAAAAGAGAAAAGCGGGAGGACCACAGAGGGAAAGGAAACGTGGTGATAGAAGTAGAGCTCAGAGTGATGCAGGAAAGGCAGGTGACTTCTGGAAGGTAGAAAAGGCAAGGAAACAGATTCTCCACTGGAGTATCCAGAAGGAATGCAGCCCAGCTGACCTACCTTGGACATCTTCCCTCTATAACAGTAACATTATACATTTGTGTTGTTTTAAGACATTAAAATTGTTGCAGTTTCTTATAGCAGTAGTAGAAAATCTAAGAGACATGAAAATTGGACCTTCAGTATTTTAACAAGCCCACTAGGTAATTTTGGTGGATGGTGAAATGGGAGAATCTGCTCTAAATTATTCAGTAGAAACGTTAATATGCCGACAAAGTTGTGTTACGAAGAGTTTGTTAATGAAATAAACACATGGAAAAAAAACTTAAAGAGAACTCTGCAGAGGCCCAAGGGCATCAAGAAGAGATTAGGCATCCAGCTAGGCAAGCAAATAGAGAAAGAACCCTGGGGCAGGCAGGAGGTAAAGAAAATTATCCATGTCAATGCAGTGATGAGATGCAGGCAAAATGGTCTGACTCAGGACTTCTGTCTCTACCTAGCTGTGTGATTCTGCAGACTTACTGTGGGTCTTTATTTCATCATCTAAAAAAAAATGAAAGAGATCAAATTTATAACTTAAAGTCTCCAATACTTAAATACATTTTTTTTATATTTAATTGGGAGTCCATGGAAAGTGGTCTGAAGTCAAAAAACAAATCTTATTTTTTACTCAACTCTAATTGAAATATAACATGTCCTTGAATTATGAAAGTAAATGATAGCCCATAGTAGTAAAGGCAGAAACTGTTTTGTAGTTACCAATAGAAATCACAGGTAGGTTCTTATTACATTATAATTATTGCAGATTCTCTTAATTTCCTTTGTACTCATCACTGTTTTAAAATTATTGTAGTACCTTGCTGATCAATAAATGTATTTCACCACATAAAAAGAATTAAAAACAAAAATTATGTGATCATCTCAATAGGTGCAGAGAAACTTTTCAATAAATCCCAACATCCCTTCATGATAAAACCCCTCAACAAACTAGGCATCAAAGGAACATATCACAAAATAATAACAGTCATCTATGACAGACTCACAGCCAACATCATACTGAGCATGAAAAAGCTGGAAGCATTCTCCTAAGAACTAAAACAAGTCAAGGATGCCCACTCTCACCACTCCTATTCAACACACTAGAGGTCCATCTGGGTGCGGTGGCTCATGCCTGTGATCCCAGCACTCTGGTAGGCTGAGGCAGGCAGACAGCTTGAGTCCAGGAGCTCAAGACCAGCTTGAGAAACATGGTAAAACCCCACTATGTTTTATGTATTTCTCTACAAAAAATACATAAAAATTAGCCGGGCATGGTGGCACACACCTGTGGTTCCAGCTACTTGGGGTGGGGGGGATCACTTGACCCCAGGAAGGAGAGGTTTCAGTGAGCCGAGATCTTCAGCCTGAGTAACAGAGCCAGACCCTGCCTCAAACAAAACAAAAACAAAACAAAACAAAAACAGAAAACAAAGTTCTAGGCAGAGCAACCAGGCAAAAGAAAGAAAGAAAAGGCATATAAATAGCAAAAGAGGAAGTCAAATTATCTCTCTTCTCTGATGATATAATTCTATAGGTAAAAAACACAAAAGACTTTGCCAAAAGGCTCCCAGACCTGATAAATGACTTCATTAAAGTTTCAAGATACCAAATCAGCTTATAAAAATTAGTAGCATTTCTATGCATCAATAACACTTAAGCTGAGGGCAATAAAAATGCAATCCAATTTAGAATAGACACACAAAAAAATAAAACACATAGGAGTATATTTAACCAAGGAGGTGAAAGATCTCTACAAGGAGAACTACAAAATACTTCTGAAACAAATCATAGACAACATAAACAAATGGTAATACATTCCATGCTCATGGATTGGAAGAATCAATATTGTTAAAATGTTCACATTGCCCAAGGCAATCTACAGATTCAACACTATTCTTATCAAATTACCAATGTCATTTTTGACAGAATTAGAAAAAAAAGATATTCTAAAATACATAGGGAACCAAAAAGAGCACAAAGAGCTAAAGCAATCCTAAGCAAAAAGAACAAAGCTGAAGGCAGGCACCACATTGACTTCAAACTATACTATAAAGCTACAGTAACCAAAACAGCATGGTACTGGTTAAAAAAATACAGACATAGATTAATAAACAGAATAGAGAACCTAGAAATAAAGCCAGACACCTACAAGCTACTGATCTTCGACAAAGTTGACAAAAATAAGCAATAGAGAAAGGACTGCCTATTCAACAGTTGGTGCTAGAAAACCTGGCTAACTATACACAGAAGAATGAAACTGGACTCCTGCTTATCACTGTATACAAAACTTAACTCAAGAGGGATCAAATACTTAAATGTAAAACCTCAAACTATCAAAATCCTAGAAGAAAGCCTAGGAAATACCCTTCTGGACAGCGACCTAGGTGAAGAATTTGTAACTAAATCCCTGAAAGCAATTGCAACAAAAACAAAAATTGACAAATGGGACCTAATTAAACTAAAGAGCTTCTACACGGCAAAATAAACTATCAACAGAGTAAACATACAACATACTGAATGGGAGAAAATATCTGCAAACTATGCATCTGACAAAGCATTAATATTCAGAACTTAGAGGAAACAAACAAATCAACAAGGAAAAAAATTAAAAAGTGGTCAAAGGTCATAAACACACACTTCTCAAAAGAAGACATAAAACAGCCAAGAAACATGTTTAAAAATGTTCCACATAACTAATCATCAGAGAAACGTAATTCAAAACCACAAGGAGAAACCATCTCGAACCAGTCAGAACGGATTATTAAAATGTCAAAAAATAATACATTGGGAAGACTATGGTGAAAAGGGAACATTTATACATTGTTCATGGGAATATAAATTGGTTCAGCCACTGTAGAAAGTAGTATGAAAATTTCTCAAAGAACTAAAAATAGAACTATCATTTAGTCCCATCAACCCCATTGTTGGATATATACCCAAAGGAAAATAAATTATTCCACCAAAAAGACATCTGTGCCTGTATGTTTATCACAGCACTAACTACAATAGCAAAGACACAGAATCAGTCTAGGTACCCATCAACCCACTGGACTGGATAAAGAAAATGTGGTATACATATACCATGGAATACTATACAGCCATAAAAAATAACAAAATCATGTCTTTTGCAGCAACATGCATGCAGCTAGAGGCCATTATCCTAAGTGAATTTAACACAAAACAGAAAACCAAATATCACATGTTCTCACTTACAAGTAGTGGCTAAATCTCGGGTAACATGAGCATAAAGTTGGGAACAATAGAGACTGGGAACTAGAAGAGAGGGAAGGAAGGGAGGTGATAAAGGGATGAAAAGTTTCCTATTGGATACTATGTTCACTAGTTGGGTGACATGATCAACAGAAGCCCAATCTTAGTATGACACAGTACACTCTTCTAACAAACTGTAACCAACCTGCATATGTACCCCCTCAATCTAAAATTAAAATTAAAAAATAAAATAAAATAATGATAGTAGATGCATCACTAGATCCTTATTATACAACGCACTGATATAGTAACACATGTATTTCTTTTTTACAAATTTATCTTTTTACATTTAGATAACTATCTTTATAAAAGCTTGTTTTTTAAAGCTATCTATGTATGCATACATATATATGTATGTGTATTGATATTTAAAAAATCCTATTCTGAGAAACATTTCATAGACTCCGTACAGGCTGCCCATGGGATTCATTATAAGAAAACTAAGGCATAACTTCTGATATCATGTGTGTCTCAAAATATGATGTAATAGAAACAAGAAAGATATCCTTATAACGCATTTACAAATGAAGAAACAGAGAAAAAGAAGGCAAAACCTTGTTTAAAGTCACTTAAATAAAACTAGATAAGCCAAGGGCCTGGATTCTTTTCTATATTCTCTCATATGTCCACCTGCATATCTCTGACACTTCCAGATGCCAAACTGGTATGAGTTCTACCTAGTTACAAATCTCTGAAATCCCATCTTTGCTTCTGAATTATACTAAATTATACATATCAAAAAACTCAGGCCTGGCACAGTGGCTCACACCAGTAAGCCCAGAACTTTGGAAGGCAGAGGCGGGCAGATCACTTGAGTCCAGGAGGTCAAGACTAGCCTGGACAACATGGAGAAACCCCATCTCTACAAAAATAAAGAAATTAGCTGGGTGAGTGCCTGTAGTTTCAGCTACTCAGGAGGCTAAGGTGGGAGAATCACTTGAGCCCAGGAGGTGGAGGTTGCAGTGAGCTGAGATCGCTCTCTGCGCTCTGGCCTGGGTGACAGAGCAAGACACTGTCTAAAAACAAACAAACAAACTTAGGGAAGATGCTCTAAATGCTTTGAGAAGAAGCCTGTGCCAAGTTTCTAATCTCCCTTAGTTGTACTGGCTTCAAAGTCAGTTAGTGGTTTAGAGATACTTCCCACAGAATGAGCTCAACTCTCAGCTAGGGACAAGAAAAATAACAAACTCTGATATAGGCAATACGACAGTTGAAAAGATGACTTTGAAATCGGATACAATCCACTGAACAGCTTTCCACAGTGTGTTTTGCTCCGACCATACTGTATTGCTTGAAGGAACTTTGAAGTCCACATTCAAATCTGCAACTGTTTGAGTGTGATGCAATAAGATACCCTAGGAAATTACGGTGGATAGATGAGTTAGCCTCCTGGATACCCAATGATAGATGAACCATGCACTCTTGGGAATTCATGAGTAGTTCAAATGATCCTCCAAAATGTTATCTGTTCATCCAGAGCTTATTTAAATCATCTGAATTTCATCACCATCCAAAATTCAGCTGACACTCATATGAGGATTTCCTTTCCCATGCAATTTCTCTTTCCACTCTCAGCCAGAAATAGTCCACACACTTTCTGAAGGTCAGACAGCTGACAGGTCTCAAGAGGGCTGGAAAGCAAAAACAAGCCAAAAAGTAAATAGCAATGTATTCAATGTAAAATCTAGTTGTAGAGAGTTAACTTCCCAAGTGAATATTGCAGACCTTTATATATTGTGCTGTGGCAATATCTGTAAAGGATGCTATAAGCATGGCCACTTTAATGTACTTGTAGTGGAAAATAATACCTCATTTATTCTTGCTGCATTATCCAAAATCCAGATTATACCATGAAATAGCAAAATAGAAGAGTTGGGAAGTTTAGAAAAAATAGTCACAGAGATGAGTAAGACCTGGTGATTTAAATCTACAAGGAAACATTCAAAGAACCAGGACTATTCATCATGGAGAAGAAAAAACTGAGGGCAACTGAGAAGCATACTACCTAAGAATAAATGAAATAAAACCAAAAGGAAAAAATATCTTAGGCAAGATTAGAGAGCGACTGTGGTTCACTTATCCTGAGATCAAAACCAAAGGAAAACATTATAAAGTGCTCTGAGAAACTGTCTGATCTTCAACTTGTTCACTTTCAGGGTAATTACTATGGGAAAGTATAAAATCTCCTCTCTGCAAATCTCTATTGAAATATTATTTTCTATCTGACATCATTTAAAGATGACTTATCTTGATTTAAGAAAATGGGCAAGATTTTCCAAGTTCCCTTATAATTAATAAATTCCTATATTCTGTATGTTATCCTGTGATAAGAACAAATGCAATCACCAAGGAACCCTGCCTATATAAATTGCCATGTTTAAAGAGGTATCCTATTAAGAAATAATGATATAAAATGGAGATCCCAGCTAGTGAAGGGTAAAAAAAGTCTGCACTGAGAAAGAAGCATAGTGTGCCCCCGAATCGTTTCTCAGACTCACCTTCTAATATGCTGAAGTTGTTACATAACATTTGGTTTTAATATAGAATGTCGTGATTCACACAGACACAGTTATCTGTCTTATGATATCCGGTGAAATTAAGTGGGAAATATTAAAATAACATTGGGTATGGCGGTAATATTAACTGCTCAATTTTTCAAAAAAATCCATGAGCTTCTTCACATTTCATAGCCCTCTGGATTTTCTGTGGGGTCATGTCACTAGTTTTACCAATAGCCTGTGAACAGAAGTGCCATGTCTCATTTCCAGGTCAAAATATACAGGATGAGGTGTAATTTCTTCACATGTTTCCTCCATGAGGCTGTGATTCACATAGGAACTATGCGCTAAGAAGGCAGCACTGGAAGGCAAATACTGATTGAGTTGTTGCATTCTTGGTGTGAGTAATAAATAGAATTTGAAGAGTTAAACATCACCTACTTATCCTGACTTATAGCTGCAGTAATTCTTGAGTAATAGTTGAGATAAAAACATTTCCACTCTACTCTCAATTTTCCCAATAACCACTCCTGTAAAGAAACAGCATCACTAATTGTTGACTAAGGGTGGGGAGATGCTTTTTTACCCACTGATTGATGGTTAGTTAGGCATTTTATTATTTAATATTACAAACATTTGTATAGAGCATACTATAGAATAAAGAAAATGTGTATTTTGCTATAGTAGAAAAATTATTTAAGCACTTTTAGGCTCAGGTTTTGGAGTAAATACTATCCATAGAATTGTGAAGCACTAAGATTCTGGTTGAAGAAAAGTAACAAACATAGAGTTTTATAGAGTAAACAATGTACTCACCACCACCATTATCGTTTTCTCTCTCTAATTCTCATGATTCTTTGAGATCAGGATTTGTATCCCCACTTTATAACAAAAAATCTTGCTTAACAAGAAAAAAATGGAATTAGGGCTTAAGTCTAGATCTAGATCTCTTATTTACAGGATACATCTACCATGCACTGAGAGTGTTTCCTCACTGTGTCACCAGGGTCCTGACAGAAACTCAAATAGGGCAAAGTAAATGGGATTTAATAAATGAACAGTTCAAAGGTATAAAAATGTGGATAAGGGAAATCACAGGGAAGATGAAACACCCAACAGGTTGAAATAGCAGGGAAGCCTCCAGAACCTTAGACATGAAGGCACACACTTGAGGCCCTTGATAAGGAAATGACCACCATCAACCTGTGTTCTCTCTCCCCAACAATTGAGAGTTTCTTACCTGTGGCTTCCATTGCTCCAATACAACTGAGGATACAGGGCAAAGGAGCCTGGTTTATGCTGTCCATTCTGGTCAGCCTCCTGTGGCAGAGTAGGGTACACAAGGTAGGGGTGAATCCAGAAGGACAAAGAGAGATTACCCAGCCTACATGTCAATCACTTTCATATATAGATAAACCACTTGGACACATCTGTATTGGAAAGAAATATATCTCCATGAAAGGCAACCTGAAAATATAATTAAAAATGAAATTGAGTCAGGTATGAACCATTTCCTAGGCAAGGATTTTTTCATATATTAGTCAGAGAACACAGCTGGTTGTGAAAGAGAAGAGCCTTCTGAATTTGAGCAGGTGTATGATTCTGATGAAAATAAGGATATGAGTCAAGAAAAACAGATGAAAGAAAGAAAACTGTTGAATGAGGAGGGGTAAGGAATTGAGGAAGAGTATGGTTGTATGACTTGGGAAAGGCAGATGGAAGGCTGACATGATCATGATGGAAAGACAGCTGGAGTTAAGACCTTGTTGATAATAAATACACATAACATGTTTTATTTTAGTTATTATATGTAGTCTTATGGAAAAATAAGTCTCTATTTATTCACAATAATGGGGCATGCTAGCTTTTAAAATAATGAGTTCTGAGTAAATTAACTTGACAAAGATAAGATGAGGGCAAGTAAAAATTCTATAATGCCTGCATTCTCTCTTTTCTCCTATCTCTGTTTA
Organism: Homo sapiens; assembly: GCF_000001405.40. Classification (NCBI taxonomy): domain Eukaryota; kingdom Metazoa; phylum Chordata; class Mammalia; order Primates; family Hominidae; genus Homo; species Homo sapiens. Next base: position 7,499,805 of record NC_000020.11, read on the forward strand.
ATACAGCCCAATTATATTTCCATGAGGATATAATAAGACAAGAGATTTCATTTAAGAAGGGGGATTGGGTGGGAGAGAGAGAGAGAGAGAGAGAGAGAGAGAGATCCTCTAGCAAAAATCCAGGGATTATAAAGATGAATTCAACCTTTGACTCAGTTTCATGGTATCTGAAACCCAGACAAGAGTTTTCATCTATTCTTCTGAGGACAGTTCCAGAGATTAGCTGTGAGGCATTATCTGTATAATAAGACAACTTTTGTTCACAATGAAGTTCTGCCCTTCATCTTCCCATCACCTCTCCCAGAGCACTGAAGAACTTCGTTCCAGCCCATTTTTTTTAGGCTCATGAGTCTACCCTTAAAATCATTTCACCCTCCATCTCCTCTTCCCTTATTAAGTAGGATTTATAAGCATCTGGACCTCATTGAGTTATTGGGTAATCACATTCATGTGATTTTTTCCTCATGCATATTAATAAATTTTGTAAACATTTTTCTCCTATTAATCCACCTTTTATCAGCTCATTTTCAGTGAACCATCCGTAAGCAGTGAGGATGCTTTCCCTCTACCTCTACAGATTAGTAGGAGGTGTTGAAAACAAATCCCATTTCTCATTTTCATTGATGGTTCACTGTATGAGTGAGTAGTATCTGCACAGAAGAGTTCATGACCCAGGAGTAAGATTCAATCTTTAGAAACCCTTGCTCATCTCAAAGAATGTTTGAAAATAATTGCACTAGTCAATTCCTCTAAACACTAGGTGGCTTCACACTAAAACCTCATCTCATTTTTAGCTTTTCCAGATTTGCTGGCAGATTTAGCAACAGCAGGTTTGCACTCCTAACATAGCAACCCCATGGAGGGTGCAGGTAACGCTGTGCTCTTTAGATGAGGCACCTGTTCTCATCTAGAACTAACTGCTAACAAGCTATATATCTTAGTATAGCTTTAATCCTTCTATACTAACAGTCTTACTCCACTCACATTCAATTCTATTTTCTGCCAGATCCCTCCTGACATTTGATGTTGTCAACAATAATTCAGACTATTGTGACATATGATGTATTATAATTATGGGCTTATGTTATGGACAAAATCATACTCTCAGAGAACCCACAAACGGTTCCAGTACAGAATTATTTAAGGTTCCATTAAGACCAAAGTAAATTATTGCAGTGCTGGCCAACAATCTAGATGACCTACTTAGGAAAAGGCATAGTTGCCCAAACTGTTGTTGCTTTTTTACAATTTTTATTTTTTACTAAGACTTGGTTCTTCCAATATACCACTAAAGTCATCTGGGCATGGAGTTCATTTGAAATTAATGAATGATCCAAAGGCAGATGAATTTATGTCAGAAGTAGGCCAGTTTTACCATGTAAACAGTATTACCAAATATTGTTTTCTGTTCCGAAATAAATGTTGCCCAATTAAGCATCAAAGTGACAATATACATTTGGCTGTTATTTGCTTTCCAGAATCATCTGGCTCCGTCTTTTCATTGTATCTGGGTGTTCCTGTCATCTTGACATTCAGGCCAGTCCTGAAGTTGCACAATGCAAGTTGAGGAAGCAAAAGAACCACTACTTAAATTGGTCCATGCAGATTTCTCCTGACCATTGTGGTTATTTGTTAGGATTCTCCATTGCCTGGGGTCTTTTTGTTTTGACTTTACTGTACAGCCAGAGTTGTATGGCTGCCCCATGAAATAAATTTAGTTTCTGTATCAGTAGCCACATTAGAGACTACCAAGAGTTCTTAAACATTTGTGGTGCCATGGACCCATGTTGTCAGGTAAAGCCCATGGATCTATCTCAAAATCATGTTTCTAAATGCATAAAATAAAGTACATAGGATTACAAACAAGCAATTACACTGAAATATAGTCATCAAGATATTAAAACATGATATATTCAAATATATTTTATATGTTATATGCTGATTCATTACTATGTTAAATATAAATATTTTAAAGTATTATAATAATTATCATAATTTCAAAGTCTGGATGTACTTAATGATATTCTGAGATATTTACAACCACCATTCTATGAGATGACAATATCAGGAGTCCTTTTAAAGTGTGGTTTGCTGCCTATATTAACAATTGAAGGAAATGCTAAATTTCATTTAGAGTATGGTAAAAATAAAGATTTTTTTTCCATTCAAGTGCATAGAACCCTTGAATTCTATTCACAGACCCTTTGGAGGTTTATGAACCTTAGGTTCAGGAAGGATCTATTCAAATCTAGATTACTGCCGTAAAAATCAAACACTTCTGCTGAACCAAGTCACTTTAGTGGAAAGAGAAGACTGGTGTGGAGTGAGTTTGGAAAACACCTCAATCTATTGAGCCGTTCAGAGACTAAAACATATATTAATATAGGTTTTTAATAATAATAGCAAGCATCCTATCTTCTATTAAGTGAAGACAAAAAACTACTACTTAAACTTATTGTTTCCAAATTAGCTGATTGATCTTCCACCCACTGAACTGGCTGGCTAGTGATTTGTTCTCACGTAAAGGGTTAGAAGCCAGCTTTCCAAATAGGGCTCACTAGTAGGTTTAAGGAGTGAACATAGAACTAATCACAACACATAGTTCCATCAGTCTAGCAAGCAAGCTTCGTGTATTGTAATCCTAGCACTTTGGGAGGCCAAGGTGGGCGAACTCCTGAGCTCACGATTTCGAAACCACCCTCGGCAACATGGTAAAACCCCGTCCACTAAAAATAACAAAAAATTAGCCAGGCATGGTCACACACGCCTGGAATCCCAGCTACTGGGGAGGCTGAGGCAGGAGAATCCCTTGAGCCTGGGAGGTGGAGGTTGCAGTGAGCCAAGATTGTGCCATTGTACTCCAGCTTGGACGACAGAGTGAGACTCTGTCTCAAAAAACAAAAAACAAAAAAGACAACCTTCAGCCAGCTTTTCCTTTGTAAAAATATTTTGTAGTAATGTTGACATGTATTAGTTCTCTTTGCCTGATTTGGGAGAAAAGCAATTTCAAACAGAAATTTTAGTTAGTCATTCTTTCCAGCTTTGTTTCCCCTCCACAAAGCGGCAATGTCTTAAATTTCTCATTTATGAGTTGCTGCCAGACTCTAATCATGACAGACTGCAGGTAAGAGGAAGAGTCAGGGACAGGCCTTGTAGGAGACCAGTACTTTACATTTTGCAGCATATGAATACACTGTGCACCCCTAAGGGCCAGTGAAAGAGTTAAAAAGTCATCCTCTATGGAAAAGTAAAAAACCTAAATAGTTATTTTTTAATAAGCTCCTCTCGGACAAAACATTTTTAGAACAGTTACTCACCATATGACAGCATTCAATAAATGTTTATTATTATTTTCCGCAATAATAACAACAATGTGTTAAAGTGCTTTCCAACCAATCTGAAAGCTAAGCTGAGGAGGAAGGGGACGCTTGTCATTGCCTCCTCTCCTTTCAAGCCACCACAAATATTATGCTCTTGCTATTTTGTTTAACTTGGGCCGAATACACTTCATAGAGTAACAGGCAGGGAGAGTTAGGTCCATTAAGAAGAAACTTCAAAAACCCTCTGGCTTTGGGGCTTTCTTGTGTTATTCCACCTCAAACCCAGAGGATATGAAAGATGGGAAGATTAGTGAGGGTTTTGCCCTGGCTGTTCTTTTACTGAATGGCTTCACAAATGCCAATTGAAATAATTATCAAGCCATTATGATGATTTGCATTAAAAATGGTAACTTTAGCAAGCAGTCCATGTGTGTGTAGGAGGGCAGTTGGGGGGTAGCATGTAACGTTATAAAAGGCCCATTGAAGCCATACCAGCTTCCTGGCTTCCCGAGGATTACCACACAGTAGTTCACAAAAAGGTTGTTCTTCCAGCTCTATTTATACTCACAGTACTTACAGTGCACGCTCCCAGCACACCCATTCCTGGTATTGATTTGTGCCTATGCCCAAATTATCATCTGGCACACACAAGGCAGCAGCTTCTGGAGATGGTGATGCAATGCTTGGATCCTGGTAGAACAAAGACAGGGCCTCTTCTTATCAAAACTTCCCCTTGCTGCTAAGATAAAAATACCAGAAGCCCTGGGTACCATTTCCTACTTATTTTTTTTTCTTTTTCACCCAACTGTCTCATTAAAGCCAGTGGTTTACCCTCCATCCCCCTTTGAGTGTCTACTTAAAAGAACAAGGCAAGATATTATGGGGATCAAATTTTCATTTAATTTGCCACTTTTATTAGTGAGGGAGGCAGTTACCTTATAAATGATTTTAAAAATATTTGTAAATGATGGTTTGTCAACATCTCAGACTCACTGGGTGAAGGGGCTGGTGCAGTGAATGAGAGTGTAGTGTCTGACAACTGCTAACATCATAGGTAGCAGTTCTCAAAAGGTGCAGGGGGAGGAATTCAGGCAAGATGAGGAACCGTGTGGCCCAGGAAGCTATTACACGGGCCATGCTTTAAGTATTTGCTGAAGGTAACCAAACATGTGTTGTGGAACAGTTTGACCAAATAGGCACTACTGAATTCTCAACCTTGAGTATGTCCCCGAATTGCCCAAGGAAATGCTTAATTATTGGGGTTGATAGACTCCACCCCAGAGAATCTGATTCAATAAATTAGACCCAGGAATCTGTATTTTCAATAAACACCAAGATGAGTTCAATGCGGTTGGAAGAATAAAGACTTCTCTTAAGGGCAAGCTGGATACCATAAGTTTTTGAACATTTCAGGAGAAACCTATTAAAAGACAACATTACAACAATTTAGTTTAAAATATAATTGGCCTTTATTTGAAATTCTAGAATTTGTCAATATCACATTCTATAAAATAGAACGGGTGTTCCAATGAGCTCAGCAGAGAAGGTTGACCTTATAGAGAAAAAAGGGCTGAAGCAAGTAGAAACAGAACAAAAAGCAGATTGTTGGTTTCAAAGTTACTTTCCTTGTAGGATTAAAACAGAGGAAACGTCCTTATTATGCTGACCAGGGTTGACTGGAATCTCCTGGTTTTTTGAAAACTGGCTCATTTCAAAGTTAAGTTTGATTACATGGCATTAGCACAAACGACTTCATTCTGGTTGGGTCTGGTCTGCTGGAGCCCAGTGCAGGAGGCTGGTCCAAAACAATGGCCTCCTATAAACTTTAATAACCCTAAACAAAATGACAAATTGTAAGTGTACAGCTTAATAGATCCTCAAAAGAACAGATATTTCTGCTATTCAGCAACTGCCTTAAAAAGAAAGTAGAGGATGTTTTGAGGACTTTAGAAGCCTAACTTACGCTCATTTCTAGTAATTGCTGCCACCAAGAGGAGCCTAACTTCTAATGCCATAATTACTTTTAACCTGTTTCTGAACTTTATAGAAATAAAACTCTAAAGGATGTACTTTTTATATTTTCTTTTACTCAGTATTCTATTTGTCAGGTTCACCCATAATATTAGCTATAGGTATATTCATCACTTCCTTTCTTAAAAAATGTATTTTCTTAACATTCACTTTGAGATAGGTGGGTCTTTCAATTATTATTTTTAGCTTTTCGAAACTGTTATCTTTTCTTTTAGTAATGAGTCAGCTAGCTGATTCCAGGTGTCCACGTTGAGACATGCCAAAATTAATTTTTAGCCATATGTTGTTTGTTTAATTAAATCTACGGAAACAAACAAACACAAATGATGGATTAGGAAGACAAAGTAGAATAGAATAGACTTAAGGAAATACATGAACTTTAAGGAAATGTCTGTGCCTAAAATATTTGTTTTTAAGTTCTCACCTGAGTTGCTCCATGGAAAGAGTAGTTTTGTGGTTTTTGGTTTTAGAGATTAACTTTCAAGTAGCTTTGAATAACAGTTCTCAAAAGAAAGAATCCTGCTTCCGGGGTTCAGAGTGTAGTGTCTGTGTTCCACCACAGGGCCTCAGCTCACCAGTTTCATTCCCTGGAAATAGAAGATCCAGGGATGGTCTGCTATTTAAACACAAGGCCTCAGCTCACCAGCTTCATTCCCTGGAAACAGATGATCCAGAGATGATCTGCTATTTAAACACCACAGGGCCTCAGCTCACCAGCTTCATTCCCTGGAGACAGATGATCCAGGGATGATCTGCTGTTTAAACTCCAAGCTCATCATTCATTACAGTAATTTTCTTCAATGTGTCCTCTTCAATATGTCATGTGTATTTAATGACCACAAAAATGCTTGTGATGCTAATTGTGCAGGTCAGCATTTCCAAGTGCCCACATGACCTCTGGGCTCTCGCACACGCAGTGGCATGTCCAGACTTCCCAGCACATTATTCCTTAGATTGATTTTCCCATGCCATTTCTTAGAATGGGCTGGGAGGTCCCATTGGTCAAGTGTTTGGTTCTTCACATCACTGTTCTTTATTTGAAGGTACGTCGGAAACCACAGCCCCCTTCCCCATATATATTTTTTTTTTATTTGAGATGGAGTCTGACTCTGTTACCCCAGCTGGAGTGTAGTGGTGTGATCTCGGCTCACTGCAACCTCTGCCTTCCGGGTTCATGCAATTCTCCTGCCTCAGCCTCCTGAGTAGCTGGGATTACAGGCATGTGCCACCACACCTGGCTAATTTTTGTATTTTTAGTAGAGACAAGGTTTCACCATGTTGGCCTGGCTGGTCTCGAACTCATGACCTCATGATCCACCTGCCTCAGCCTCCCAAAGTGCTAGGATTACAGGCACACCCGGCCTCTTCCCCGTATTTTATAGTTAGTCTTGGTATTAAGCCCTGAGCGGATGGACCACACAGGTTGAAAGAAAAGCAGATGGAAAAGAGCTAAAATTCAATACCATGATTCCACGACAACCCACATTAGAATCTGTAGTAAACAGTAGATCCTATCTTCAAGGGTTTATTTTGGAGAGAGTGGAAGATATAATAAACAAATAAACATAAAACTTAAATTCTAATAATAATAATTGCCCTGAAACTGGGCCAAGGAATAGGAAGTTTACACAATTTGTGGGGTTATTTGGAAAAGGGGATCAGAGTGGTTCTGTGAGGAGATGACATTTGAGCAGGACATGAATGATGCCATGGAGAGTAAGATGCAACAATCTCAGTGCAAAACATTGCTGATGATGGGAATAGCCCTTGCAACCTTCTCACTATGCCAAGCACTATCTAAACACTGTATATTTACTACTGTGATTTTTAACATGGCTCTGCAGTGAACATGGCCTCTTTGTTACAAATAAGAAAACTGAAGCTTAGCCCAGTAACTTAGTACAGCATGAGAGTAGTGGAGCTGACTCTGAGACACCTGCAGCCTGGTTATAGCCTTGCTACTCTTTCTTTCTTTTCTTTTTTTTTTTTTTTTTTTTTTGATACTGAGTCTCGCTCTGTTGCCAGGCTGGAGTGCAGTGGCACAATCTCTGCTCACTGAAATCTCTGCCTCCCTGGTTCAAGCGATTCCCCTGCCTCAGCTTCCTGAGTAACTGAGACTAAAGGTGCACACCACCATGCCTGGCTAATTTTTTTGTATTTTAGTAGAGACAGGGTTTCACCATGTAGGCTAGGATCGTCTCCATCTCTTGACCTTGTGATCCTCCCACCTCAGCCTCCTGAAGTGCTAGGATTACAGGCGTGAGCCACCTCACCCAGCCGCCTTGCTACTCTTAAAGGCCACTCTATAATGGCTCCAGCATTAAGTAAGGTCCATCTTGGTTTGTTCAAAGCCACTGTGGCTGAACTGCAGTTAACAAAAGCACACCTTCTAAAAAGGCGAATTATTTTATTTATAAAAGTCTCCCAAATACTTACACCCATTGCTATAGACTTAGAATTAATTATTCCATGCTGGCAGATTGGTAGCCTTCCTTCACAAAAATCAAAGAGCTATTTTATTTTTAAAGAAAATGATCTTTTTGGGCCAGGCACAGTGGCTCACGCCTGTAATCCCAGCACTTTGGAAGACCAAGGTGGGTGGATCACGAGGTCAGGAGATCGAGACCATCCTGGCTAACATGGTGAAACCCCGTCTGTACTAAATACAAAAAATTAGCTGGGCATGGTGGCACACAACTGTAGTCCCAGCTACTCGGGAGGCTGAAGCAGGAGAATCGCTTGAACCCAGGAGGCGGATGTTGCAGGGAGCCAAGATCGCACCACTGCACTCCAGCCTGGGCAACAGAGCGATACTCTGTCTCAAAAAAAAAGAAAAAAGAAAGAAAATGAGCTTTTTTCAGCATCCCCGGGATGCCTGATGTTTATCAAATGTAGTGGGTAAGGTTTAAACCACCAGGTGATATATTGGAGGTGGAGGGTAAAATGTTTTTTCTTAGTCATCAGCCAGGTATCTGATCCCAGGAGAAGATCTATAAATGGATTGATTCTTGATCAAATTTTAAATCTTGGTGGTAGGAAGATGTTAGTGAAGCTTCAGTGATCCTTGTCCCAAAGCACTTTCAGTATGTCAGTACATCAGCAAATGGCTGATATAGGAAGTGCAAGCTTCCAACTCTCCAAGTACTGTTAAGAGGTGGTTCCACTCTCTGAAGATTCAATGGGAAAATACAGTGATTTTTATTATTCCTGCACTGGGAGAAGTCTCCATGGTTTGAGAGGAAAAAAGAGATGCTTTTCTGGTGTGTGAGCCACTCTCTAGAAGACAACAAACACCAGCACTAACTTGTTAGGACCCCTGTTTGAATGCAGGTGAACCAAAGGAAAGTAATTTGTTCTACCAAAAAGACACCTGCACTCCCATGTTTATTGCAGCACTATTCACAATAGTAAAGACATGGAATCAACCTAGATGTCCATCAATGGCGGATTAGGTAAAGAAAATGTGGTATATTTACACCATGGAATATTATGCAGCAATAAAAAGACTGAAATCATGTCCTTTGCAGCAACATGGATACAGCCGGAGGCCATCATCATAAACAACACAGAAACAAAATTCTAAAAAAAAAATTTTGAAAATTCTGTAACAAAAAAGCAAATTCTGCATGTTCTCACTTATAAGTCGGAGCTAAATATTGGGTACTCATGGACACAAAGATGGGAACAATAGGCACGAGAGACTAAGATAGGGGAGGCAGGGAGGAGAGTAAACATTGAAAAACTACCTATTGGGTACTATGCTGACTATCTGCACAGTACCCAAAACTGTGTGTATTAGGCCATTCTTGCATTGCCATAAAGAAGTACCTGAGGCTGGACAATTTATAAAGAAAAGAGGTTTAATTGCCTTTTGGTTCTGCAGGCTGTACAAGCATGGTGCTAGCATTTGTTCAGCTTCTGTGGAGGCCTCATGGAGCTTTTACTCACAGCAGAAGGCAAAGCCGGAGCAGACATGTCACATGGCAGGAGATGGAGCAGGGTTGGGGAGTGAAAGTATCACACACATTTTACAATCAGATCTCATGAGAACTCACTCACTATCATAAGGACGAGAACTAGAACTAAGCCATGAGGGATCTACCCCATGTCTCATACACCTCCAATTGTGCCCCATTTCTAACAATGAGGATTAAAATTCAGTATGAGATTTACAGGTGATGACATCCAAACTACATCTCTAAGTGTTGGGTTCAATCACTCCCCAATCCTCAGCATCACCTAATACACCCTTATAACAAACCTGTACATGTACCCTCTGAATCTAAAATAAACGTTGAAAAAAAAAAAGCAAGGGACTTCTTAGAATCATGGTGTCAAGCGGCCCTACCAGGACCTCCTGGTAGCAGCATTCCTTCCCCCAATGTTTCAATTTAGTGTAAGCTTTTTTTATGGAGAGAATATTTTTCTCTAAAAACAATATGATAAAAAGCCCTTGGGATAGCCTTTCCCTGACAAAGTTCTTCCAGAAATCTCTTTCTCATGTTTGAGACCTCTACTGGTTCGATCTCTTAAATAATTTTGTTTCCCCTGCCTTTATGACAACTGTTATTACGAAACACTTTATTTCACTGTTAATGTTGTAATGTATATTTTTGGGAATGTTTCTTATGCTTACGACAATTGCTCTAGGTTGGACAACCAGAATGGGGGACTGCCACTTTCTTTTTTAAAAAATTAATAATATCAAATTCCCTTTGATAAAAACTTTACCAGTTTATAGTAACACCACATATGACATTTCCTATTTCCCCAGACAATTGCCAGCAATATGCAAAATGTATTGCTGAATATTAGTGTAGTTGTATAACTTTTTATATACTTATTAGCATTGTGTATTTATCCTTCTGGAGATTTCTTGAATATATCTTGCCCATTTTATTATTTAGTATTTATTAGAACTCTTCTACAAAACCAATAAAGATTGGTGCCTTTATTAGGAAATCATGATTAACAATATTTGTATTCTGTCTATGATTATACTGTGTTTTCTATGTCTTTCAACAACAGCTTTGCTTTTATAGTTTTCTAGAACAATCATTGAATATCTGTTTGATGTTAATTAGCTGATTTGAATCCTGGATACCAGTACTCTAAGTCAATAAACTATGATAAAATTCTAACCGTTAGAATGTGCTTTTCTTTGGGTACAGGATCGGCTTAACCCGAATTGGTAAAAATTTTAAAGTCTGTTTTATTCTTTCTGGGTTCCTAGGTTGTTTATCCTTCGAAAAGAAGCACACACACACAATATCAAAACAAAGAACAATTTCCTGTTTCTAAGAAAAGTGTCTTTAAAAGACATCTTGAACATCAAATAGTTGTTACAAAACATTTTGATGAGCTAAGTGTAAACGATTCTGAAACATATGGATGAAATTTTCCTAGGAATCACTCGGGCTTAAAAATTAAGGAAAAAACACACAATCAAACTAGGTTTAGTGTTTTCCAACTCCAAGGCATTTGGTAAATAGTCCAAGACAAATGACAAATCCCTAATATGTCCAAATTGGCCCTTCTTTAATAAAATGATGTATGTAAGCCGTTGTATAAGCTTCACTCTGTTTTATGTCCCCCTGTAATAGACAAAAGAATGCAAAACTTCCCTAACTCCGGACCTTTTTGCTGGAATTAAGTCTGGCTCTGATGACATTACTAGTGATAATAAATATTAAGTAAGTATAATTTATAATAAATTTTTTTTTCTTTAGGGAACAGTGTTCAAGGTCATCTCTTTTGATCAAGGGGTTCACCACCATATTTCTTGAGTGTAAGTAAATATTCCCGGTTCAAATTTTACTAATTCCAGTGAATGCACTGCACACCCCTTAATGTCTTGGGACAGTTCGAAGTGGGTTTAAAGTCATTTTTCCCCCACTTGTTTCTAAATTTATGTCTGGTTATATGAGTATTTGTCACTCATCTGGGAAGTTTTCATTACACTTAAGGAGGAAAGTGAAAGGATAAACCAGACCTCCCAGTGCTACTCTCAGAGTAAACAATGTCTCTTCTATCTGCATAGACTTTCAGATCAAGATACGAGTAGAGCCCAAAACTCAAAATATATACGTGACTTAATGTGTTCAGGATATTTTTGTAATGTAATGTAGTGCAAGAGATGGGACTATATGTGATAGGACAACATTGGATCTTTAAAAAAAAATTTTAAAGGGTATGAGTTTGGAACTCTTGTAACCACACAAATGTAGATGTCCTTAGTCTTCAGAGATCCCCAAGCAGACAAACTAGATGGTGGTTATTTGTATTAAACTAGCCTTTGTTTTAGAAATTGAATCAACCAACATGAGAGTTTCCTTCAAAATATATCTTATAAATAATGCTTTTCATGTATGTTAAAGAGAAACTACTAGTCGGTTTATTCTCCAGTGGCTTAGATGTCAATCATGTTCTCTTTTTTTAATTTATGTACTCTCCCTCCTCCAGCCCATAGTAGGTCACCACTATTACCTCTTCTTAATTTGTCCTGCATACCACCTCAAGATATAGATACATCTTACTCTCTTACCCTCAAAAAAACAAGTACATTAGGTGACAGTTACATTAGTTTGATTTATTAATTCCATAATGTAATAAATATATAAAAACCTCACATTGTGCTTCATAAATATATATAATTTATATTTTTTAAAATAAAATTTTAAAAATATATAGTTGTATCTTTCTTATGCATAACCTTAAAGGAAGAACATATCTATTTATAAACATTTTTTGACTCTCTGTGATTTCAAATTATTTACCCTGATAATCTTGACCAGAGATGTAAGATGTATATCATCATGTGTATATACACACATAAACTTATTTGTAAAACAAGAATAAAGAGTTCTTAAATGTCCTCCTAAGATTAAAATAACAGAAACTTAAAGCAATGACAATTGTTTGAACTCTTTAAAAATCTTTACCACTTATCAAAACAACCAATATTTATGAAGCAACTCTATGTGCCAGGTATTATTCTAAATTCCGGGGATAAATTAGTAAGCATGCTCCCACAGAGCTTACAGTGTAAAATACTGAGAGGTATTAATGCAATAGCCATACACCTAAATGAAAATTACAATTAAGATAAGTAGCCGTACATAAAAGATCTTCATAGGGAAGTTTGATGCAACCAGGAGGATCAGATAAATTTCAGAACAAGTAATAGCTAAGATGAGGTATACAAAAATAGCAGAAGCTAAATGATGCATTGGGTTTGGGAATAGGTAGTTGGGAAAAGTATCCCAGACCATAGGAAAAAGCAGGCACAAAGGCCCTGTGGTGGGCTGGGAAGGAGTTTGAGGGACCCGAAGAAGTTGAATATAGATGGATCACAATGAGTGAGGTCATCTGTGGCATAAACAAGATTAGAGATTAAATTTGAGGTGATATAAATGAAAAATCAGTTATAGATATTCTGGCTCAAGAGAAAGGGTACATGAGCTTTAATTACTTGCCAAAATTTTTGGAAGTCAAGAAGCCAAGCTTGAATGCCACACAATTAATAGGGACCCGGTCCAGGGAAATTTCAGAAAAACTCCATGGTGCTTACCACTGAGTGTTTATAGTCACCCAGCCAGAAGGTGAAACCAGAACCTCTGCTACAGTTGTTTCTGAGAAGCAAAGATATCCACCACCTTAGTTAGCACAAAAACTGCGCAACCTTGCAATATCCTCACAGACCTTCACATGCCATGATAAAAGATAGGCTTGGTGGGAGCCAGTCACACACATTTATACATCAACAGCATGGGGACATGGAACATGCAGGCTGGGAATTCTACCTGGGAAAGGCAGGATTGACAAAACACAGAATAATTATAATGGGAAGAGGAGGAGGTATGCAAAATGTCGAGGACATTGAAAAAGGACAGATGTCATACAGAGATGGAGTCTGGCTGGAGCTATATATTTGTGAATCATTGACATTGTAATTAAAGCTGAGGACATGGATGAGAACACATATGAGATCATAAGTGGGAGATGGTAGAATCTTCTTTCTGTATTCTATTTGTTTGACAGGCTCTGCATTAAGTGCTATGTGCAAATAGTTCATAACCAAATGTGAGAAACTGCTTCCAAGCAGATAATTGCAACATAATATAGCAATGCTATAATAAAGATTTGTATAGAATATTGTAGAAGAATGATAGTGTTGGTGAGGCAGGGAGCACTTATGTAGCAAAGGAAACCCAAGGGAACCCAAATCTATATCTCTTTTGACTCATTTATCCAACTGCCAACCACTGATTAGCTCTGGGGTATTTCCTCAACACTTCACTTTCAACGTGTCCAAAATTATACTTGTTATTTATTCTCCCCTTTCCTTCCACTAATTTCTTCCTCTTTCTACGATTATCATCATGATCAACTACCAGATTCATTGTCCAAGTTGAAAATCTGGAAATCACACTTGGCCCCCTTCTTCATCCTCCAATATCCAATTAGTCAACATATATTTTAAATTTCATCATGGGAATATCTCCTGAATCTGTCACCTCCCCTGGATCCTTCTACTAGAGCCATGGGTCATCCACTCAATTCCCCATGTCCACAGATATTGCAGAAGTTTTCTGGTAGGTATCTCAGCAAATAAACCTCTCCTAACTCTGATGCTGGGGTCCACAAGCTTTGTTTCTGTAAAGAGCCAAAGAGTGAACAGTTTTGGCTTTGCAGGCTATAAGTTCTGTGCTGTAAGAACTCAAGTCTGTTCTTGCAATGAGAGAGCAGGCATAATAATCTGTAAGTGCACGGGTGTGGCTGCATGCCAGTAAGGCTTTCGAAGTGTGCTAACTCCTGCTTGACTCCAGAAAACCATCAGAATCATCACCCTGAAAACAGATCAATTTCTATGCCTTTGCTATTCCACAATTTTCGTGAAAGAAAGCCCATATACCTTTGCCCTTTCAAAAGATCCTTTATGGTTTATTCCTAAGCTATTCTACCGATTTCATCTTCTGCCTCCTCCATGTTGTGTCCGGTTTTGTGGCTTGTTCTTATGATTCTGCACCTTTGCACATGTGATTTTTGCCATCCTCTTCTTCATTCCTCGGAAAAATTCTCCTCATCTTTCTGTGCCCTTCTTAAATTTGAGTGCTCTCTGTCTTAGCATTGTTTCCATTTTTCTTTTCTAGATTTCTATACTGAGTTCTATTGCAGCTTGGTAACATTATGTCATGATTATCTGCTTGGAAGCTGTTTCTTACACTTGACAAATCCAGCACTTAACGCAGGGCCAGTTAAATGTCTTCTGAAAGAGTAAACAATAAATACAAAATGTGAAAATGAAACGGTGAGTGAGAGAGTGGCCAGAGAGGGGAGAAAAAGAGTGCAGACAATTCTTTTGAAAATTCTGGTTGATAAAAAATAGGGGGGAAGGTAGATACTTTATTCTCACAACCATAAGACTAGCTATAATGAGCTGTTTTAAACATAATAACTAAGTTTTTAACTTGAAGTAATATAATAAAATAAGCACACAGATAAAATATGGAAATTTTCCCCAGCTTCAGGAATTGAGAACAGTGCCCAGGTCCACAGAACCCTACAATATTTATTTCACTCTGCCCACCTGGGTGCTCAGTTATAATAATTCTACCCATGACATGTCTATTTAAAAAGCGTACTGTTGAGGTAACAAAGCCTTAACTCATGTAAAAAATATCTGGAGTGTTGAAAATTCTAGCACAGTGGATAAGACATTTGGCCCAAATGAGTCTATCTCACAGTTCCTTTGAAATTATATCGAGCAATTAATTCTGCTGTAACTACACTTGGTGCTGTCTTTCTAAAGGATTTTGTGAGGGTATCATTTCATACTCTCCTTCTCAAGGTACACAATAAGCCCTAACCTGGTTTTGCATGAAAAAGTATTGCCAATTTAAAAGAGTACATGCTATAAGGCAGAACAATTTACCATTCAGCAACAGTGAAAGGATTTGTCGGTGTGTGAGCCATCAGACTCATTGTCTTGAGCCTCAGGGCAACCCCATCTATGTCTCCTAGACCATTTCACAGTTGTCTGTAGTGGGGAGATGCTTGGAAAGAGGTAACATATCTGTGCAGTTCCAATCAAATGCTTCTGGGCTTGGCCAATGAAGGAGAAGTGTCTTTCAACAGATCTGCCTTTGGACTATCTTTTTCACTCACACTGTTAGTCATTGGAGTGGACACTCCTGATGCCCTGCCCACATCCTCCTTAGAATTCCTGTACCCTTCTTCCACATGCTGTCTGTGTTAGCTACTAAAGATTCATAGCTCTTCTCTGGAGAATTGCCCTTGGCTGAGAAGGAAGCACTGCCTAGGACAGTATATGTGTGCCTGCCCTGCTCTCTTGCCTCAAGTTGGGACTGAGGTTATTGAGAAATTGACTCTCCACAGCCTGCTGTGGGATCAGGCTAAAGTCAGAACGCACATCATACCACTTCTTTGCTCAGTTCCCCTCCCTGGCCTGGCTAAATTTGCCATTCCTGCTTCCTGAGGACCCACCTTTAATAAATCACACGTGCCTGAAACTTCATTCCCAGCCTCTTCCTCTCCTAGATCTCTCTACCTAGGACAGTTGTAGGTAAAGTGAGGAATCCTAAGAGAGAACCCAGAAAAGCAGAAATCACAAAGGCAACCTAGTCAACAGTGAAATGTATGACAAAATGGAGGGATCTTGTCGACAAACAAAATGATATCTGAAAAGTCTCACTAATAAATATTAAAGATCATTAAATGTACATTAATCTTTGGATGTTGAAATCAACATTGAATGTCCAAAATTAATTCAAATAATTATATCAAACACACATGCACACATGTGCACACACACACACTAATCATAAGGATTTAAAATATTCTGAAATTATTTCATCTTTCCTTTTCTTTCTTTCTTATTAAAAAAAAAAAATAATGGCCAGAATACTGGCTTCTATAACATTAGTCCCTGCTCTGGCAGACCAAAAGAGGCAGAATCTTCCCAGCACAATTTTGCCCTCCAAACATTTTAAAAGTATCCAATTATCTGGCTTTGTATTACTTACAAAATCTTGTAGTTATGAAGAAAGTTCTTTTTTTTAAATTCAGTTTATCTCCCTAAATTAAAAGTGTCCCTATAAATAAGAAGAGAAGCTGTTTCTGTCAAAACTTTGGGTCTACTTAGGACTAATGGAGTTTCTTTGTTTCGTAGGAAAACCTTTTGCCCTCAGACCAGCTGCTAAAGTTGAACACCACAGATGATTCTTTCAAAGCGATTCTGAAAAACCATATGCTGGAATCTAAATTTCTTAAACTTTACACACAAGATCAGAACTCCACATCTTAATAGCCATATAACTCTATAAAGAATTACCCCTGATTTCTCTGGTAGATCATCACTGCAGAAGGAACAAAAAAAGGCTTCATAAAAGCATTCCACCTGTATTGTTGGCAGATGACTTATAAATGTCGCACAGACACGGGCTGACTACTGGCTCATAGAAGAAGCATTAAATGAACGACGAGACATCTGCTGGTAAATACACAGCAAACAAAAAATGCAACTCAGAGCCAAACATGTGCACAGTGTGGGCCCCATCTCTGCTCATAAACCAAGCAATGTGTTCTGCTAATCATTAGCAGAGTTATTGATTTTAGATGTGTATCACACAGCTATAATTTTGTCAGAGAGTAGACCACATAAGTTGTTCTTTTTCTGGTTGTTTCATTTTGTCTTATTCCAAGAGTCCGTAAATTGACGACCGGGACAAAAATTATAATTGACATCATCTGTGGGAAATATTTCATAAAACAACAGGCCCAGATGTAGGATTAAAGCCATGTGGTAGTAAAATACCCCACTGAAAAGGGGCCAGGTTCCATGATTTCTTAAGAAAACAGATGTGCTCTTTTTCCCTCTGCTTGTTTTTCAATTTTTTTTCTCCAAATAAATCCCCCCCCAACCACCAACGTTTTTTCCTCTCTGTCTCCTCACGATTGCACTGGAGAGAGTTCATAAATGGATTACAGATGTAGGCTTGTACTTCAAAATTCTAACTGTCACAATCTCTGGAATAAAATAAATGAAACATTTGGAAAAATTACATTGAACTATTGTAAAGGTAATGATGATTATGCAAACATGTCTGCTTGACATTTATCTAGCATCTTTGGGCATGAGCATATGATCTCCCAGATACCTCAAGCTGGAGTTCAGGGAGTAGGAAGTAATTTAGAGTTTGTCCAAAATGCAGCAACAGTAACTCCTTCTGAAAGCCCCCTGTTCTGAAGGGGAAGCTTTTATCTTTGAAGTTTCGACAAGTTGGTAAAAGGGTTCTCACGTACTTTTTTTCTTCTTAAGGTGAGATTTCTGGATAAAACAGCACAGGAAAATAAGAACCCAATATATCTCAGCCTCTACTCATTCAAGTTCCTTTTATCTATATTATGCTCTACAATTTCCCCTTTGGAAATGTTGTGAACCACAAGAAAAGGATCCTAGGGCACAAACACAGGCTATATTGTTTAACAACTAATCTACAAGTGCTGTGAAGAACTGCACACAACCGGGTTTTTGCCAAAAACCTTGGTGTCATATGGAATCCATTGCAGTATCACTGATTACAATTAATTAATTCAGCATTTATGCTGTATCTCAGCATCCACCTCCAGTAATGTGCCAAGATGGCTTAGTGTTGGGAGAAAATAATAAAGTGTAAAAGAAACTAAATTTCCATCATGTGTCACGTTAAGATTTCAACAGAATATCTGCACTCTCCAACTGTCCCTTTTCAGCCCCTCAAAAACTGAAGCAAACAGTACATAAATTTGTTTAGAAACCAGAGGAGCCTGACTCCAATTTCCCTGCATTGTTTCTTTAGTCTGTCTTCTTGGGGTTAAATAAGAAATAGAATTCAAAGTACCAGTGAGACCCCAGGAGACCTGAGCTGAGTAACAACTCACGAAGATCATTTTGATACTCCCATTTCAGCATCCTCCTTTCTACCAGTTCCTCAGATGCCCAGCTCAAGGCTGAACACCTTTGTGCTCCATGAGATGAGTCTGAAAGAGATTATGCTAGGTAAAATAAACCAGATATTATATTATTCCACTTTTATAAAATACCTACACATAGGCAAACTCATGGAGACAGAAAGTATATTAGAGGTTACCAAGGGTTGGAAAGGGTGAGAAATGGGGAATTGCCACTTTTTGGGTATAGAGTGATATTGCTCCATGAGAATTTATGAAAGGAGAAATTAATAGAATGGTGTGAGAGTGAGGGGCAAGACAAAAGAGGAATTATGATTCCTCCCTGGGCACCAAAGACGAATCAGAACAATGTGTATGAGTCTTTATGACTGTTAAATTTTACTGTTACAGAGATGAGAGCTACAGATAAATGATTGATCCATCCCAAAGTAAGTGTGTGTTCAGAGGGCATATAATAGTTTTTAAAGGTTATTGTGGCAAAATATGTATAATGGAAAATATGCCATTATATCCATCTTTCAGTGTACAATTTAGTGGCTTTAGTTGCATTCACAGTGTAGTGCAACCAGCACCACTATCTATTTTTAAATTTTTTTCATCATCCATACAGAAATTCTATACCCAATAAGTGGCAATCCCCATTTGTCAGTCTTTCTAGCCCCTAATAACCTCCAATATACTTTCTGTTTCTATGAATTTGCCTATGTGTAGATATTTTATGAAAGTGGAATAATATGGTTTATTTTATTTAGCATAATCTCTTTCAGACTCATCTATATTGCCACAGGTATCATATGTTTCATTCATTCTTATGTCTGAATAATATTCCATTGTGTGTACCTACCCCATTTGATTATCCATTCATCCGTCAATGAATACTGGGTTGTTACCACCGTTGGGCTGTTGTGCATAATGCTGATGTGAAAACTAGTGAACAAGTATCTGTTTTTACCTTTATTCTCAATTATTTCACTTACCTTGGAGTGGAATTGCTAGTTTATATGGTAATTCTGTATTAACATTTTTAGGAACTGCCAAACTGCTTTCTAAAGCAGCAGGACAATTTTACTTCCCCATCACTGCCAGCAGTTATTATTATTATTATTGCCATGCTTGTTGGCCATTGTATTTTTTCTTTGGAGAAATGCCTTTTCAAATAATTTTCCCATTTTTCAATTTGATTGTTTGTCTTTTTGTTGTTGACTTGTAGGGATGATTTATATATTCTGGCTATTAACCTTGTTCAGCTATATGATTTGCAAATATTTTCTCCTGTTCCTTAGGTTGTCTTTTCACTTTCTTAATCATATCCTTTGATGGATAGAAAATTTTAATTTACTGAAGGTCAACTTACCATTTTTTTTATTTTGTCGTTCATGCTTTTGGGATCATACATAAGAATTTATTGCCAAATCCAAAGACATGAGGAAGTTCCCTTATGTTTTCTTTGAAGAGTTTTATGGCTTTAGTTCTTATACATAGGTTGTTAATTCACTTTAGTTTATTTTTCTTAACAGTGTAAGAGTCCAAGTTGATTCCTTTACATGTGAATATCCAGTTGTCCCAACATCATTTCATGATGAGAGTGCGTTTTGATTCAGATTCCAAAGCAGGGTATGAGGACCACAGTTAGGGGACCAAGGATTAAACTTTTTATTTCTCTATGGAATTCCTTATTTATCAAGTGGTCTGTACTGACAGACCCCTATTTGATATAATATCTATTTAATTCAATTGCTATTCTATTAGAACACCCTGTTTTATTTATTTTCTCCACTAAAACCCACTAGAGAGCTCTGAAGTTATAGAACCACAGCAGCAGTGTGTTTCTATGGTCACAGATGCTTGATTATTAGAGGGTTAAGATGGGGGTATAACATGTATAGGGAGGAGAGAAACTAACCTGTTATTGATCACATGGGGACTTGGCCACCTACTTGGGGTCACTGGCTGGGACCTCAGTAGCAGAGCAGGAGAGAAAGGGGAGAAATGGTCTCCAGTTCTGAGCTTACAAGAAGAGCAGGTAAAATTGGGCTTGGCTTGAACTGGTGAGAGGTTGATCTGATCAGTAGCGTAAGATGGTGGAGGTGAGTAGATAGGTGAGCAACAAGCCACTGCATTGCCAGTAATCCACCAGTGTAGGAGGGACATTACAGCCTTGAGTGGAAAGATGAAGAGAGGAGTCTGATCTTACCTGAGAGGGAGCTAAAGAGAAAGGTCACATCTCAGAGAAATCATTCACACCATTTGCAGTTTAGAATTGAGAAAACAGACAAAGAAACTGAGGCAGAAACCAACACACAGATTGAAAAAAATAATCTTCAGTGATCATTCCAGGGACAACATGAGGGCTATTAGATCTTGAACAGCAAGACTCAATCAGAGCATATCCAGTGGTGGGGAATTAGAATTCTTTACAATTGAGTCAGAGTCACAGGCACTCGAGCCCGAACATGAAGAGTGCTAGGTCTCATAGCCATGCTGGGCTGGCACATTAGGAGCAAGAAAAGGAAGGTAAGCCCTGTGGAAAGGAAGGCCAGAAAAAACTGACTTCCTGTACCCGTAGCAACTCCTCAGCCTCTCTCTCCGTAGAAGGGGCAATCAAGCTAAAGATTTTATTTATGAAGCCAGCTTGACATCATATTTTAAAATTTTGTTGTCCTGAAGATAGAGATTTCAAAAATCACGTAAGTGGAGCATAAAAAACAAAGCCGAGAATTGAACCACTATAGAATTTGATGGCATTTTATTTCAAGAGACAGTGCCATAGAAAGGACAATTGCAAACTCTATCAGTGGTCTCATGGTCATCCTACAGAGTCATCTGATTATGACACCCCTTACAGTAAGGAATAGTTGGAAGCAACAAGGAAAGTCAAGAAATCCCATAATGTGACTCTCTTAGACAAAGTAGACGAGTCTAAGGCCCTAGGATATGGTCATTCAATCCACCCTGTGTCTGAACCAGTCAACAATAAGAAGTGTGAGAAACACAAATAAGAGCTGTCAAAAAAGAGAAAGATTTTCAGTATAAGAAGTGGCTAGGCTTTGGATCAAATGCTAATGTTTCATTCCTGGTATTTACTTGGATTGTACCTTATTTGACGTTTCCTTGTCAGCTTCAGATTTTCACCAAGTCCTTGCAGTGCTTGGGGAGCCACACTGGGTCAGGCAATCTGATGAAATGCATAGATGCTTCATCTCACATTCACTGGAATAGATGTCTTAAGTACACTTATTGTGTTAGTTGTGCTTCATTTCTCCAAAAAATACAGACCTTCATTTAATAACAAATGGACAAAAAAAAAAAAAAAGGAACGTATGAAGCAGGCAGGACTTCTTTGATGTTCTCTATTTCAAAATGTGATGGGAAGAAACTTCAGAGGAAATATTTTTATTTTCTCTTCAACAATGGCTAAAACAATGAATAGGGTTGAGAGAATTTTTGAGCCCTGAATCATTGCTTCTATGCATCAGGCTTCCTTGTTCATATACTTAGTAGAATAAGGCAACTTTATTTTCTTGAAATGCTGTTTTTATTTCATTATTTCCCAATTCAAACCCCTTAATTACTTCTCTATGGGTTACTGAAAAATGGCATTGAATAATACATTTTCAGTTCTATAAGAAATCCTAACATACATCTCATGCAATTCCCTTTTCTTTGACAACAGGGGAAACTGATGCTCAGATAGACTAAAGGAAAATGTAAGTCTCCCAATTCGTCAGTGAGGAATCCAGGCCTAGAACTGCTTCTGTCTTCCAACGTCATGCTCTTTATGTAACTGGATCACTGCAGACTATATAGAGACCCACACCATGCCTCTGTGCTCCTTTTCAGCTTCATCTTCAGTGCTATCTCCCCTAAATTGCCCTCCTTGCAATTCTTCAAGAACCCCACAAGCCTGAAATATCCTCTCTCATCTTCTTTCTGTGTTCAACTATCTTCCATGTAAAGACGAGCCTACATTTCCCAAGAATTTTTTTCTAAGCAACACCTGTCTGAGGAAGAATTAGTATTAGTTGCACTCATTTGTCACATTTCTCTATCTACTTTTGCTTATATCTAAAAACTTATGATAAACATAAGACTGTAAGAATTCAGAAGTGTTAGCTTTTTTCCCTAGATAACTTTATGTTTATTAATCACTCCATCACATTTTGAAAAATTTAGAATATGCTTATACTTGCCAAATGACACAAATAAATGGATAACATTGTGGATTCGTTCTGATGTATATACATAAGAAATATCAACATTTTGCAAAATGAAAGTAAAAAATATCATTTCATCTTTTGAGACGATATTAACATTATTATAGATTAGCCATTGAAAATATTTTTCATAAAAAGTTAAAATGGATATAAATAAAGCGTGCCTTTAAGAGAAAGGATCTGAGATTGAAAGGTGAAGAGACTCAGCCAATTTGACATGTAGAATAACTGAAATAGCTCTTGGGTCTTTCGGCTTTATTTTCCCCAGCCTTCCAAACTTACATTCATAAGCTCTTTCTTTACAGAATTAGGATCACAGTATTCTTTTGAAACCCAATGGATATGTGGCAACCCCAGGTCACCCTCATTATATGTTCTGCTAATGCCTCTATGTTGTCCTCTAGTTGAACTGTGGTTTTGCACACAGACAGATTCCAAATGGATGGGGATTTCACCAGTTTTACTGATTTGGCCAAAGTTCTTAGCACCAGTCTTGCATTTTAATATGGCACTATGGTTCAGTTCCCAGAGTAACGAAAGATGAAAATCCCATTATTACCTAAGATGAAAATCAGCTGTACACATAGTCCATATTTTCAGCAGACCATTTTTATGAACTAGAGCCAATGTACACATTAAAATCTCCTTACAAGTCGCCCATCACCTTATTCAGCAAAGTGGCTTCATCACTGGGAAAAAAAAAGAGAATAGATTTTGCAGAAGAACAGGAAATGTTAGTGACCAAATGTATTCTACAGAAAAGAGAACTAGAGAAGTGACAAATCTATGAAATGATTTTTTAAATGAGTCTGATCAAAGATAGCAACCACAGAGCATTTTTTCTTTACATCAGAAAATGAAAGAATAAATAAAGGACAGTATTAGAATATCTGCAGAGGTTAAACAAAGGGAAAAATCAGCTCTTTAATCAATAATAAATATACCTACATCCACTGCATCTATATTTGTATTGATAACTGCATATTTATTTGTCTAGCTACACAAATTAGAGCTACTTCAACCACAAGGCTAATTTGAGCAAGGCTTCCCCAAGGTTTAACTGGGAAGGGTTTAATAATATTTCTCCCATGATCCATGTGATCTTCACATGATTAACTTAGTCAGTGATCACATGGGAATCAGCTGAACCTTGAAGAAAAAGGCCTAGGCATGTTATACAGTGACAGATTTATTGGAGGATATTAACTAACATGCCTTTCCTCACTTCCTGCTTGCATTTGACCAACATCAACTAGAGCTGCTGGAGGTTGCCTTCAATTGCTCCAAAAAGAGGCAGAGGGAAAAAAAAGTCAGTTTCTTGGTAAGTCAATCAGTTTCCCAACAGAAAACAAATATTTATAGATAGTTTTAGGAAATAACTAATTTAAAAGTTCTGGGTATGGTTAAAGAAACCAACAAGGAATGGGAAAGCACCAAGAACAGTCAGGAGAAAGCTTTATGAGCACTAGCCTTGTCACTCCCCTAAGTAAGAGTGGCAAGTGGGGTTACTGATACTGAGAATGTGCTGTGGCCATTGGCAGGCAATGGAGTCACTGCTAGAACCATGGCCTGCTAGTGAGGGAGCAAGGCAAACAGTCACCCTAACATTTTTCTCCTGTGAATTCCAAGTCTTTTGCAGGTGTATTCTGCAGCTAAACTCGGTGGGAAGCCAGAGGTCATGGAAGCACAGGAGTTGCAATTTGTAGAGGACGACTTTCTGTGGCAAAGATTAAACACAGATTATTTTTCAAGAGGGACAAATAGAACATAAACGACATACCTGACTTTTAAGTTCTGCAACTTCTTTTAAAAATGGATTTCAGATTTCAGGTTCTGGGGGAAGAAAGTAGACATACTTTTCCCTATTCCTAAGTATGATTTTAAAGCCTGAATGTGATAGATAGATGATATAATAGATAAATAGCTATACAGACAGATGACAGCTATATGTTAAATAGATAGATAGATAGATATAGATAGATAGATGATAGATAGATAGATAGATGATAGATAGATAGACAGACATAAGACTCTGAAAGGTGGAAAGAAGAATACAGATGATCTAAGGAACACAGAACAAAAGATGAAATGTGATATGATTTTCTCGTTTGGGGGTATATTTTTTCCTTGAACAAAATTTGGAGGTGATAAAGCTGGAAACCAATTAATGTAAATCTGTGCAGACAGAAAAAAGCCACAACAAAACCCTGTTCTCTCTAGCCAAAGTAAAAGGCAGCCTAATGAGACCAAAGATAAAATAAAATAAAAAGTTTTAGAGAATATCTAGTCTATTCCAGCTAAACACCACAGCAAATCTATGCCCACCCCCCATCCCCATGCTGGCAAAGGCTGAGTGATTAACTGAAGGATCCAACCTCACCAGCCTATAACAAGGCACCTCAGAACTCCTGCTGGATGATCAGAGAAGACTAAGTAGGGAATCAAAATGTTCATCCCTGCTGATTGATTACAAGTTTCCTCTTTTCCTACCATGTCAATGAAGACCAAATAGGGAGCCAGCACTTCCATTCTTACCTGGAAGTAACAAGGTGTCCCTCTGTCTTCCCACTGGGGTGGTATGAGAGGAGGCCCATGGAGAGTCAAGAATTTCATCTCTGTTCATCACTAATAAGGTCATGCCTCCACCATGGAGTTAGCAGAGGCCATGTGGAGAGCAGTAATGATGCACACCTACTCTCCCTAGCCAGGGAGCAGTGACTTCATCCCTCTGCCCATGGCCACAGTGCCTCTAAGTATCAGTAACTCCACTCACTACTATTGATTAGGGGAGTAACAAGCCAAGTGCCCCTAAGACCTCCTGATAGCTGTTCCTGCTGCTTTGACATCATTTGTTGGTTTCCTAAACCATAGCTGGTCCTCTGTAATGACGGCCTTCCCCTCAGTTATCAGTGGAAATTTAGGGAGAATCCTGGACTTCTACCTCCACTTGGCAGTAATGAAGTGGTACCTCACTCCCCACCTGCCCCCCCAACAAAAGTGGTATCAGAAGAAGCCAGTTAAAACAAAAGCCTTAAATAATATCCTAGTCTCGTAACATAATGTCTTGATTCCTTCTCCATTCTTAAAGGATATTTTAACTGGAAATAAGATTTTGAGTTGACAATTCTTTTCTTTCAATACTCAAAAATGGGCATCCTACATCCTTCTAGGCTCTTGTGTTTTTTTTGAGGGAAGCTGATCATAGTCCCAGAAGACACAATCCCTGAACACCAAATCCTTAATGTTGAAATCCCAAAATAAAATAAAATTCTGGGAAAAATAATTTTAAAATATTTTAAAAATATTTATTTACATTGCTAAAAGGGAATTTGCATGAGAAACATATAAAAACAACAGAACATTTTTATAGGCTACTTTATGTCATAAAACAGGCAATAATAGCATACATATTTTTGCAAGCATGGACACTCAGATATACTAATTGCAGTTGCACAGGCAAAGCAGAAGGAGACAAACTACATGTATGAATAAATTCCTTATATAGTTGCAGTCATCTGAAATACCACAATGGATGACCTAAGTCTTTTGATGAGATCAATCAAAAACTGGGATGGATCACCACAGCATATGCATTCACCCAAAGAGATGAGATCTTGAGAAATTTTATGTTTCACAAATATAGATGTATAAAAAGGATACCTCTTCATTTATTAAAGAAGTTTCAACATTTTTACGTATGCACACAATGCTTTCACACAAACTCAGCTTTGTAGTAATACAACTTTGTATTGTCAAATTTGCAACACAAATGCATAAAACAAAATAGAACTCTCTAAAAGTTTTTGCACAATTTATATATCCAGTATTGGAAATGATGTAAAGATGAAATACATAGCATAGAGTGTTAAAAAAAATGATGACAATTTAAAATGGTGAAAAAATAAGGCGAAAAATATTAAAAATAAAATGTGATATATGAAAAAGTGTATTGCAGGGATAGATTATGGGCAATCACACAGAGGTAATCCATAAGAGCTGGCTGACTTTCATGATGATCTTATATTTTAAAGTCTTGCATCATGATAAATAGTGGCTTTTTTTCTTAAGGCATGGCTCTACTTTGAGAATATATTCACATTATAATACATAAATTTTTGCCAGCTTTTATGTTGTTTTGGATTCACAGAAATTCATTTTGCATGGACCCATATACAGACTACAAATTTGGTGGAAACAATGCTGGTGATAGAACGGCAGCACTGATGCCCAAATGTCTTTTTATCCTGCCATGCACATTATTATTATTATTATTATTTTTATTTTTTTATTTTTTATTTATTTTTTTTTTTGAGACGGAGTCTCGCTGTGTCTCCCAGGTTGGAGTGCGGTGGCGCGATCTCGGCTCACTGCAAGCTCCGCCTCCCGGGTTCACGCCATTCTCCTGCCTCAGCCTCCCAAGTAGCTGGGACTACAGGCGCCCGCCACTACGCCCGGCTAATTTTTTGTATTTTTAGTAGAGACGGGGTTTCACCGTTTTAGCCGGGATGGTCTCGATCTCCTGACCTCGTGATCCGCCCGCCTCGGCCTCCCAAAGTGCTGGGATTACAGGCGTGAGCCACCGCGCCCGGCCTGCACATTATTATTTTTAAACCAGTCAGTTACTTTGCTGGTTTCTCAGGCCCTGGAATGTCATTGGCTGGAAGAAATGACAATGCTGGCAAACTAAAGCTTTTGTCATTGTCATATCATGGTCAATGCACTCATCTGAATTTTCCACCAAATTCGTTGCCTGAATGGAAAGAAAAAAACACAAACTTTACTGGTAACACTTTGAAATTCACTTATAGAAGTCTTGATCATATTTAATTCTGAATCTGTCATTATGGTTTGGGGGTTAAATTGGAATCCATTTGCACATACAAAGTCTACTGATATTTACCCCTTGGTTCTTTTTATCCTCACTGTATTTCCCAGCATCCTAGCCTCCATGCATCCTGAATCTCCATGTTCCAAGCCTACTCTTTGGAAGCCATAGCCTAAGAAGAAGAAGCCATGCTATGTCCTCTTTGTTTCTAACCAGCCAGCCCTGCTAGATCCACCAGCCCTCTTTTGGCCAAACTGCACACAACTTTAAGTGGCACAAGAAACTAAAGGGGGCTTCTCCACTTTCCTGCCCCCTTGTGCCTCAGGTTTCCTCTCTATCTAGATTTCTCCTGGCATTATCTTTGCCCTGCTCTAGTTATCCCATGTCAGTATGGACTCTTCAAAGCCTTCTTCACCACACTTTGTATAGGAAAATAGGGAGCAAGAAATACTTATATTGGCTCAGAACATCTCTAACTCCACATTAACAGTTTCTACTCTGGGAGAGATATGATGTGAAGCCCCTTTCGCAAGCACACATTCTCAAACTCCTCTTCCAAATCTGATCCTCCCACCTCTTCCCAGGAAGGACTTTTTTCTCCTATTTTAATGTTAGGAAAGGATTATTCCAAAGATATAGCTAATAATGTGTCTCTGAAATTAATACCATTACCTCTTAGATGTATCATTGCTGCAGTGGGATTTAGGATCCACTAAGTCAAATTTTAATCTTCAGTATTTACTTCCCTTTGCACTTTTGCTATTTTGATCTTAATTTTCTCCATTACAATGCATAGTCCAGACTTAATTACATGACAGACAGAAAGTATAAGAGGAGGAGAGAACATGAATTAATATTCTAAGGTATTATTTTACTACATACTTATAAGAATTGCATATTTTTTCAAATCCATAAAAAGACCAAAACTATGACTCATTACATACCTTGCAGAGGAGAGAGAATAAGCAACTTGGAAAGTATACTTGAGGAAGTAGTCCATGAAAATTTTCCTAATCATTCTAGACAGATTAACATGCAAATCCAAGAAACACAGAGAAACCTAGCTAGACACTAAACAAAACAACCACCTCCAGGGCACATAGCCATCAGATTCACCAAGGTCAATGCAAAAGAAATAATCTTTAAAGTGGCTGGAGGCTGGGCGCAGTGGCTCACGCCTGTAATCCCAGCACTTTGGGAGGCCGAGGTGGGTGGATTACCTGAGGTCAGGAGTTAGAGACCAGCTTGGCCAACATGGTGAAACCCTGTCTCTACTAAAAGTACAAAAATTAGCTGGGTGCGGTGGCACAAGCCTGTAATCCCAGCTACTCAGGAGGCTGAGGCAGGAGAATTGCTTGAGCCTGGGAGGCAGAGGTTGCAGTGAGCCGAGATCATGCCACTGCACTCCAGCCTGGCTGACAGAGCGAGTCTCTGTCTCAAAAAAAAAAAAAAAAAAAATGGGTGGAGATGAAGGTCAAGTCACATACAAAGGCAACCCCATCAGGCTAGCAGCAGATCTCTCAGAAGAAACTTTACAAACCAGAAGAGATTAAAAGCCCATTATCAGTGTCCTTAAATAAAAGAAATCCCCCCCCCCAAAAAAAAGTCATATTCTGCCAAACTAAGCTTTATAAGTGGAGGAGAAATACAATCTCTCTCAGGCAAGCAAATGCTGAGTGAATTTATTTCAACTAGACCAGCCTTAAAAGAGGCTCCTAAGAGTGTGTTAAACATGGAATTGAAAGAATGATACCTGCTACCACAAAACCACACTTAAGAACATAGCCCACATGCAGTATAAAACAATCAAATCTGCATAACAACCAGCTAACAACATGACCCAGGATCAAAATCTCACATATCAATACTAACACTGAATGCAAATGGACTAAATTCCCCACATAAAAGACATAGATTGAAAAGATAACACCCAACCATCTGTGTCTTTAAGAGACCCATCTCACATGTAATAACACTCACAAGTTCAAAAATCATACAAGGGTAGGGGAGGACAAGGAGTCCTTATTCTTGTAATAGATACAACAGACTTTAGACAAAAAACAATAAATAAATAAGAAAGACGATGAAGGGAATTACATAATGACAAAGGGTACAATCCAACAAGAAGAATTAACTATTCCAATATATACACACCCAACATTGGAGCACCTGAATTAAAAACAAAAAAAAAGTTTTTGACTTATCACAAAACCCAGACAACTATACAATAATAGTGGGAGACATTGACACCCCACTGGCAAGATTAAACAGGTCATCAAGGCAGTAAACTCATGAAGAAACTATGGACTTAAACTAGACGTTGGAGCAGTTAACCTAATAGACATCTGTAGAACATTCCAACCAGCAATCACAGAATATACATTCTTTTCATCTGCATGTGGAACATATTCTAAGATTGGCCACATGCTCAGACAGGAGAAGTCTCCATAAACTAAAAAAAAAAAAAAAAAAAAAATTGAAATCCTACCAAGCACACTGTTGGACCACAGTGTAATAAAAATAGAAATCAATATCAAAAAGAAGTCTCAAAACTATATAAATATATGGAAATTAAGTCACTTACTCCTGAATAACTTTGGGGCGAACACCAAAATTAAGGTAGAAATCAAAAAAGTTTTTGAAATTCATGAAAATAGGAAGAGAACTTACCAAAATCTATGGGATGTAGCTAAAGCAGTGTTAAGAGGAAAGTTTATAGCCCTAAACAACTTAATTAAGAAGTTAGAAAGATTACAAATTAACAACCTAACTTTGCACCCTAAAGGAACCAGGAAAAAAATAACCAACCAACCCGTAAGCTAGCAGAAGAAAAGAAATAAGTAAAATTAGCGAAGAACAGAGTGACATTAAGATGCAAAAATTTATACAAAAGATCAATAAAATCAAGAATTGGTTTTTTAAAAAATTAATAAATAAACAAAGATTGAAAGACCACTAGTTAGATTAGCAAAGAGTGAAAAAGAGAAGATCAAAATAAAGGCAATCAGAGATGAAAAAGATGTGTAACAACTGCCCCCTCAGAAGTACAAAAGATCCACAGAGACTATTATGAGCACCTCTATGCAGGCAAATTAGAAAATCTAGAGGAAATAAATACATTCCTGGAAACACACAATCTCACAAGATTGAATCAGAAAGATTGAAACCCTGAATAGACCAATATCAAGCTCTGAAATTAAATCAGTAATAAAAGTCCTATGAAGAAAAGAAAAATTCCCTGGACCAGATAGATTCACAGCTGAATTCTACCAAATGTGTAAAGAATTTGAACAATTTTTTTTATACTCCATTTGAAACCTGTTACAGTCAACTACCTACTAATCTGTATTTAATTTGATCACTGAACTTATTTTCATTATTTTACATTAAAAGAAGAAAGCTGGTGAATGTATTTGAAATTGAAACATTAATCAATAAGTAAAATGGATGTATTTATTGATGTATATTTAAAGTAATGTAGAAAACAATTACCTATTTTCCTCTAGCCATTGTAATCCCAAAGAAACAAGTCAATAATACTATTAGAGAAGACACCATTATACTCAAGATCTTATTGCAGTTAAAAGATTCCCCAACCCTAGCTAATGTCCAAATTTTAATCAGCAGTAAGTATAGCATAAATTTAGGGATACAGGATCTGAGCATTTTATTAACATTAGTTTTCCTCAGGCAGCAATTTCTCTAGCAACAAGATCATCCCAAATTGCTAAGAAATTCCAATTTTTTAATCTAAGTTCTTTTACAATAGGCTTTATCTATCAGCAACCAATGAAGAAGGTAAATTTGCATAAGAATCTCATGTAACTGGCTTATTGTTAAGTCCAAATTTATTGAGGCATAAGTATAAACCCATTATTTTTTCTCCCAAGTTCTGCATAGTAACAATGTAACATTTTTAACACAACACATACCTTTCTGTTTAAGATAAATAATTGATAATTCAGTCTAATCTAATTCAAAATTCCTATATTATGTCTTATGTCTGTCCTTTCAACATATCCAGGGTGGTAGAGCTTGTGGAGATAGAGTGTATAGGTGTCCTTGTCTATGCTTTTACTTCTCTAAATCTAGGATTTTGGAGTAGAGAAAGGAGTAGTCTCACTTTGCTCTTTTCTTCCCTTTCTCCCATCTTGAATCAATTCCACCAGTCTTGAGGAAAGGGAGGGGGGATAGAAGGCCACATATACCTACAGAAAGATAATCATTTATCTCTCTTTAGTCTCTGCAAATGATCAACACCACTTTCCACCTCTAGAGATCAGATTGCACATCTCCTAGCTTGGCTGGTAGCTTCTTTGGTAGTCCTTTTGATCCTGCTTTGCCCCTAACCCTATATATTTCATACAGAACTACGAGAGCTATAGAAATCCTCTTCCATACCATCTGAAAGCCAAAGGGATATGGTATGTGAGTTGGAGTTGCGGAGGGAAGGGCTCCTCTTTTTCCCAGGCATAACAAGCATGGTCATTCCCCATCCCTCTGCTTTTCGCTAACCACGCAAGGCTTCAGCCTTTAGAGAGCCAAAAATGAGACACAGGAATACATCTCTACATTTATGTACCTCTAAAAATCACCAGGGCATACATGGCAATCTCTCCATAGAATTTTCTCACCATAACTCATTCTAATGACAATACTAGAGTAGGCTAGAGATCAATCTGGGAAAAAGGGGTGCAGTTTATGCAGATATGCTCTATTTATAAGGTGATTCCTTTGAAGTCCTGTCTTATTTGATTTGATGGAATGCAGCAAGGAAATGCTGTTCTTGCATAAACATTGAACTCTTTATGACTATAACAACATCCTTTTCCTCTCCTTCCTCCAGTAAATTGATTGGAGAGAAAGGAGAAGGAAACTGGAAAATAAGGAATAAAGACAAGAGGTGCTGGGATAAAAGTTGGGACAGCAAAGAAGATCCAGTTGCCTCTTACTAAAACCTGAATAGCATGTCCAGTACCAATTATTAGTAGTTCTCTTTAGAATGTTGAAATATTTAATGCATTTAATGTCTCCCTGATTTCAGCTTGGGGATTGAGTCGCCACAAATTCTAACTATAGGGAAAGTCTCATTTAATCTTTCGATAGTGGATAGACCCAAGTTTTAGAAGCAGAAAAAAAAATGTTTATACATTTATATTCTGTTACTCCTCCCTCCAATTCATTACCTCTTTCCAATGCAAAAGGACCCCCACTCTATTCCTCTGTAATCTTACCCTATGTTTTTGAATTGTCTTTGTTTGGAGCTGATTTGTCATACATCTTTTAAAGATCAAGTTATTTGTGACATTGTGAATTATGTCAGATGACATTACAAGGAATTTAATTTAAATGTATGCTCCTCTGAGTGAGTGAGTAGGAATCATCTCGTTCTTAAATGAAGGTCTTACACAGAATGGAAAGAGAAGAATTTGTAAATTAATGTGTTTCTTTGTTTTTATTTTTTATTTCTTTTTGGACCATTTTATATTCAAAATGTCTTCTGTCACATTTTCTCTCTCTTCTCTTTCTGGGACAACAATTATACATGGTAGTCCCTCCTTATTTGCAGTTTTACTTTCCATAGTTTCAGCTACCTATGACAAACCATGTTTCAAAAATATTAAGTAGAAAATCCCCGAAATAAACAAGTCATAAGTTTTAAGTTGCGTGTCCTTCTGAGTAGTGAGATGAAATCTCACACTCTCCTTCTCAGTCTCGTCCAAGACATGAATCATCACTTTGTCCAGCATAGCCATACCATATGTGCTACCTGCCCATTAGTATATAAAGGATGAATAATCCTTATGTGAAAAGATTTGGACCATAGGTGGATTTGGATCTATATTCTTTTGAATTTTGGAATATCTCCAATATACTTGTTAGTTGAGCATCCCTAATCTAAATATCCAAAATCCAAAATGCTCCAACGAGTATTCCTTTGAGCATCATGTCAGTATTCAAAAGGTGTAGGATTTTGAAGCGTTTCAGATTTCAGATTTTCAGATTAGACATACACAATTTATAGAAGGTTTGATACTATCCATGGTTTCTGCCATCCACAGGGGCTCTTGGAACATATGTACCCCAATAAGGGGGACTACTATGGTCAGAGCTGGAGGAGAAGAGAAAGAAATAATTATTTACTATATTTCACAAGTCTTATATCTTTTTTCATGTATTCTCCACTTATGCTCTCTTGAATATATTAATTTTAGTTATTTTAAAATCTTTGTCAGCTACTGTTTATTTCTGGATCACCTCTGGGTTTGTTTCTAGTGTTTGTTTATTTTTTTCGTTGCTGGTCATAAATTATGATTCATATATTTTAAATATAGAAGAAAAGGTGAATAATATGAAAAGTAAGAGGAAATGTTTTAGAAGAGTATTAAAATCTATGAAAATAAAATTGGAATTATCAAACTGAATTATACAATATTTAGTCAAAAAATCAATATGAGTATAATAATAAATCAGACACAGCTAGCCACCCAAAAAATCACCACTTGGTGCCTGGAAATTAAACAATATCCTTCTAAATAACTTGCAGATCAAAGAAAAAACAAAATTTTAAATATTTATTCTGAAAAAAAGATAAGGTTGGATATGTCAAACTCTAAGAATAGAGCAAAGCCTGAAATGCATATATTAGAGGAAAACTTCAGTTTTGAGAAGTTTGAATATCAAACTTCTGAAAACAGAATTCCAGAAAATAAAATTCAAATGAAATGAAAGAAAGAAATGAGTAAAGTAATAGTGGAAATCCATAAAATACATAATAAAACTAAATATTCACTAGAAAAGGCAACAAATCAAAAATTGTTTCTCTGTAAAGAGTAATGAAGTTGAAAAAATCTGAATCAGACTGTTTATGAGAGAGACTGACAGAATAGAAATTGCTATTATAACTGAAAAGAGGGACAACACTACAGTTCTTATTGACAACAAAAACATAATTATAGGTATTAGAAACAATTATACCAATAACTTTGACAATTAAGATGAAGTATATAAATTACTTGAAGAAGACAAATTAACAAAGCTGATACAATAAAAAATGGAAAACAATTTTTAATGTGCTTGTAGCCATTTTAAAAATAATATTTGTTATCCAAACCTTATACAAAGAAATTTCAGGCCCAGGGGGAATAAGAGATTAATTTTCCCAGACATTTAAGGAAGAAATAATATCAATCTTTTACAAATATTTTAAAAGGAAAGAAAAAGAGAAAAATACATCTCAGCTTTTTATGAGAGGCAGCATAATTTTGATAATAAAACCTAATAAAGACATTGTAAGAATGGAAAACTACAGATTAATCTCTCTCACCAACATTGCTGGATAAGATCTGAATAGATACATTATTAGTGCACCAAATGCAATTGTATGTGTGTAATCATTATCACATGGGAGTTAACATTCAAAATCAAATGTAAATTGTAACAGTCAGATATCAAACAATGTTATTGTTACATTTTGAGAAAAAAAGATGGAAACAGTTTTATTATTTCTATGGGTGCAGAAAAAGCATTTGTAGAATTCAATCACTCATTTAAAAATTTAAGTAATTACTTAAAACCTAGGAATAGAAGAGAATGTCCTCCATGTGATCAGAGATATTCACAGAAAGCCCACAATAAACACAGATGAAATATTTAAAGTATTTTCTCTAAGTTAGAAGAAAAACAAAGATTGCCACTGTCATCAAGATTTTCAACTCTGTATTATGAGGACCAGCCAATGAAATAAGACATTTGATAGATGGATAGATAGATTTATAAAGAAAATGATGGCACACATACAAAATAATAATCTAGCATAAGCTATTACATTAATAAATTTAGAAGGATCACCAAATATAAGACCAATATAAAAAATTAATTGGATACCAGCAACAACAAATAAAAAGTAAATTTAAAAAAACATGCTTTACAATGATACCAAAAGTATAAATTTCTGGGAATAAATGTAATGAATGGTAAACATGACTTTATGCTAAAAGCTGTTAAATGTTGAGGCAAATTAAATAACATTGAAATAAATGAAGAAATATAGTAATAAATTATGTGACTTAGTATCACAAAGATGTCAGTTCTCTTCAAATTTTGTATAATTCCAATAAAAATATAGATTTTTTTGATGGAAATTAAAAAGATGATTATAAAACTTATATGGAAATAACAAATGAATTGGCATATTCAAGACAATATTGAGGAAGAAAAAAGCATGGATTTATACTATCAGATATCTATACTTACTATAAAGCTATAGTAATTAAGACAGTGTAGTTACTCCAACAAAAAGAAAAAAAAATAGTGGGAGAAACAAAGAGAGTCTAGAAATAGAACCACATGTTTATAGTCACTCAATCATGTCAAAGACAGCATTGCAGTACAGTTGGTAAAGAAGGACTTTTCAGTAAATTGTTCTGAGTAAATAATCTATACAATATGAGAAACATAAGACTGGACTCCTACCTCACAGCATGTGCAAAAATTTTTCCAGATTCATTATAGAACTAAACATAAAAATAATAATACTTTTAGAATAAAACACAGGATAAGAAATCTGTAATTTTAGAAACATTTTTATAGGACAATAAAGCACTAACCATAATGGAGATTGTTGATGAATTGGAGTCTATCAAAAGGAAGATCCATTCATCGAAACAGAATTGACAGACTAAAAATATAAGCTAGATACAAGGAGAATATATGTCAATGAATACGCTTTATAAAAGGTTTAGATCCAAAATCTATTAAATACTTCTACAAGTCAACAAAGAAGCAGGCGACACATTAAAAAACAAGGGCAAGCATCAATCAATGAGTGGAAAAAGAAACTCTGATACACACACACACATATATATGATGGAATACTACTCATCCATAAAAAGGAATGAATTAACAGCATTTCAATGACCTAGGTGAGACTATTATTCTAAGTGAAGTAACTCAAGAATGGAAAACCAAATATTGTATGTTCTCACTCATATGTGGGAGCTAAGCTATGAGGACGCAAGGCATAAGAATAACAGAATGGACTTTGGGGACTTGCAGGGAAAAGTGGGAGGGGGTGAGGGATAGAAGACTACAAATATGGTGCAGTGCATACTGCTCGGGTGATGGACGCACCAGGTCCTCACAAATCTCCACTAAAGAACTTACTCATCTAACCAAATACCAACTGTATCCAAATAACTTATGCAAAAATACAATTTAAAAAACTGGGCAAAAATATGTAATATATACTTTATAAAATAAATCATCCAAATGGCCAATAAACATAATAAAAGGTGTCCAATATCATTAGTCATTAGATGAATTAAATCAACCATGCACCTACTAGCAAAGTAAAATGAAAAAAGCAGAAAATACCAAAGTGTAGGAACAGAGCAATTGGACTTTCATCTAATATATAGATATAAATTGTACAGGCACCTTAGAAAACTACTTGGCAGTATTTAATTATATCTCAACCTAAGTATACTTAAATTTCTCTTCTAGGATTATACCCAAAAAGCATGTATACATACAATCGCTAAAATACATATATAAGGATGTTCCTACCAACATTAGTATAGTAGATAGAAAATTAAAACAATCAAATGTTAAGTACCACAGCAAAATACTATACAGAAATTGAATGAATAAATATCCCAACATAATGTTATTAAACACAGACACACACATACACAAGAACTTGTACTTCTGATTTCATTTATATGATTGCATAATCAACTTATTCTTGTTGGTAAAATGAGGATAGTGGCTATCTTTAGAAAGAAGAGTGAGTATAGTGAATAAAAGAGAATACCAGGTGGGCTTATAGGATTCTGGTTTCTTTATTCATGTGATGATTACACAAGGGTGTGTCTAACATTTTATCAGTCTGTACATTTCTGATTTGTTTACTCTTCTGTATCTATAAATGTTAATTTAACAAATCCAATTTCACTCTGTGAACATTCAGTTATACATTCTTATTTGTTTGTTTATGTTAGTTGCTGCAATTAATAGAGTGCATAAAACATTCTTTAAATAATAAGGGAAAATTTAAATTAAGAGAAATTAAATTTTTGAATTTTATTTCAAAAATTAATACGTAAAAATTTACGTTTTAAAATTAAATTTAAAACCTAGGCTGGGGATGGTGGCTCACACCTATAAATTCCCAGCATTTTGGTAGGCCGGGGCAGGAGGATTGCCAGAGGTCAGGTGTGCAAGATCAGCCTGGGCAACATAGTGAGATGCCAACTCTACAAAAAATTTAAAAATCAGCCAAGTGTGGTGGAGCACACCTGCAGTCTTAGCTACTCACGGGGCTGAATTTGGATGATTTTCTGGATCCCAGGAGTTTAAGGCTGCAGTGAGCTATGATGATGCCACTGCTCTCCAGCCTGGGTGACAGAGCGAGAGCTTGTCTCTTAAAAAAAAATAAGGAAAATGTATAACTGGAATAAATGTTAGGAAGTTAAGATTCATGGTGTTGTAAGTTTATAAAAGAAGGACTTCATGTAGGAATATCAGGAAGAACTGCTCTGAGCAAGTGATAAAGTGCAATTTGACAAATGAAGGTGTGGTAGTAGGTTGAAGAGGCAGGACAGCATACTAGACCCAGCGACCAGCATCCTTAAATATTCAATAAAGGTCAAAGGGTGCTGAAGGGAAAAGTGGTGTATTGTGTGATTGAAGAGATAGGTAGGGTCCAGATTGTAGTTTGCTTAAAAATTTTGGTCTTAACCCTAAGAGCAGTTGGGAGCATGTGAAGATATTGTAGAAGACAGTATTATATAATCAGATTTGTATTTTGAATAAATTCCCCTATGACTCAGAATGAGAGAAGGCCAAGAGCAGATGAGATAAGACCCTATAGGAGGCTACTGCTGTAGTATGGGATTCTTATATCATGGGTTAAATGGGTAATGGAGGAGAAAATATATAAATGTCTTTGTTACCACTCAACAGTACACATAAAAATGGTAAAGATAGTAAACTTTATATGTATATTTTACCTGAATTTGTAAAAGTATAGATGATTTTCAGTTAAAAAATATAGGGTGGTAGTAGGAGAAATAGAGAGAAATGAAAGGATTTGAGATCTATTTGGAGGCAACATTGACAGGATTTGCTGATATGTTGCATGTAGGGGGTGAGCTTGATGGAGGTGTCAAAAATAAGTCCCATATTTCTACTAGTGGATATAGAAGTCTGGGGATTTAGTTCACTAAGAGAGGTAACATTAAAATATGACCTAGCTTTGAGGAAGAAAACATTAATTTTCTTGGGAATGTGTTCAGTTTCCTTTGGGATATGTTCAGTTCAACCTTTCAGGCATAAATTAAAGATGTCCAGGGGTCAGTTGTGTTTAGGAATTTGGAGCTCAGATAAACCTTCCAACATAATAAAATTTAATATAATTTAGTGCATTTTACTTGTCAAGCATTGTGCTTTACCTATCATAACTCATTTGTTCTGTAGAACTCTATGTTGTTGATATTGCTGTTAATATTATTCTCATTTTCCAGACTAGTGAAAAGAAGTGCAGAGGTTACCTACCCTGCCCAAAGCTAGTGTCTGGAGATGTTCAAATACATGTTGCCTAGCTCCAGAAGATATGCCCTGAAACACTAATATACTATGTGTCTGAATCACCCAAAAAATAGAAAACACTTTCTTGGCATTGTAGTAAACCCTAATCAAATGTAACATCATAAAAATTATCTCAAGATTCAATACATGGAACACTGTCCCTCAAACTATTTCTTCCTTCACACCTTCAAGTTTGTGCATCTTGTCTCTCAGTTCTGGCATAAAGAATGATTTCACCTCCATGGGCTGTGCTTGTTTTCATAACCCTTGTTCTTAGCATATCCATCATTCTGGTCCTGTCTGCATCATCAAAAGAGAATGCAGCCATATCTTGAATTTACTGCCAGTCCTTTCTCCTGTTTTCTTTGAAAGTGGAAG
Source organism: Homo sapiens (assembly GCF_000001405.40). Lineage (NCBI taxonomy): Eukaryota > Metazoa > Chordata > Mammalia > Primates > Hominidae > Homo > Homo sapiens. Next base: position 7,539,134 of record NC_000020.11, read on the forward strand.
GCATTTGTTTGTTTGTTTGTTTTTTCACAATGCTATGGATTTTTTCCACTTAGAACACTTATAATCTGTAATTTTAATGGGATTTGGAGATGTTAACAAGTTTTCTGTACTAGCTTGAACCATCTTAATGCATTAAGATTCCTTGGGCCGGATGCAGTGGCTCAAGCCTGTACTTCCAGCACTTTGGAAGGCCAAGGCAGGTGGATAGTTTGAGCTCAGGAGCTTGAGACGAGCCCAGGCAACATGGTGAAACCTCGTCTCTACCAAAAATACAAAAAATTAGCCAGCTGTGCTGGCAGGTGCCTCTGGTCCCAGTTACTCAGGAAGCTGAGGCAGGAAGGTCGCTTGAGCCTGGGAGGTGGTGGTTGCAGTGAGTCGATATTGTGCTACTGCACACTCCAGCCTTGGTGACAGAGTGAGACCCCATCTCAAAAAAAAAAAAAAAAAGATTCCTTGATGGACAATTTATAAATTGTGCCCCAAAACCATGATTCTGTGTGACTCTAAGTCCAAAAATTTGTAATTATTGAATCAATATGATGAAATTAATTTTAACACTTCCATTCTTATTGAGGAAGGAAAGATTGATTTCCAAAAATCATACCTAACTAAAAGAGGTCATTTTCTTATGATTTCTGTTTCCATCCCATTTTAGGTTAACATTCATCATCTTTTCCCCCATGTTCATTCCCACTTGGAGCCACAGAAGAAGGAAATTTTAAAAAATACTTTACGTCATCACTGTAGCAGATTCCTCATAATACGGTATGTATCCATATAATTTCTCAAAATTTTAATTCCTGGAGGAAATGGAGCAAAGTGTCTGTATAGAACTTTACAGTGATCATCTTTCCTTCAGGAACATTAAATTGAACAACTATCCACACAATAAAACACCTTCATAATAACAAAGGCTCAGATGAGCAATCACAGTAACTGGATTAAACATTATATCACAGCAAGAGGCACTGAAGAGGGTAGGACAGTCTTGAATCTCCTATACCAGCCCTCCCCCACCCACCAGCAGTGGAACATCATAGGGAGAGAGAATCTGTGTGCCTGGGGGAGGGAGAGCAAGGTGATTGTAGGACTTTGCACTAGGACTCAGCACTGCCCTGTCACAGTGGAAAGCAACACAGGGCAGAATTCAGCCAGCACTCAAGTAGGAAGCATTTATACTAGCCCTAGCCAGAGTGAGATTGTCCATCCTAGTAGTTGGAACCTGAGTTCTGGCTAGCCCCACCACCATGGGCTAAACTGCTCTGGGGTTCTAAATAAACTGGAAAAACAACGTAGGCTGCAAGGACTTCAATTTCTGGTTTTGCGTTTGGCTTGAGGCCGGTGGACTTGGGATGCATGTGAGCCAGTGAGACACCAGCCCCAGTGACAAAAGGAATGCATGCATTACTCTGCCTCCAACTCTTAAGCACTGAAGGTCACAGCTCTGGGAGAAAAGGGAAGAGTAAAGATGACTTTCTCTTGCAACTAGGATACTAGCTCAGACAGTAAAATAATGCATCAACCAGAGCTCAAAGACCCCATTCAAGGCCATAGCTCACGGACAATATTTCAAGACCCACCTGGGCCAGAAGGGAACCCATAGTCCTGAAGGGAAGAACCAATGCCTGGCAGAATTTACCATCTGCTGACTAAAGAGCCATTGGGTTTTGAATAAACATCAGCAATAACCAATCGGCAACTGCCATCTCAGCTGCGGTGGCCATGGGAAGATATTCATTCTGCTTGAGGAAAATAGAAGGAAAAGTAAAGAGGACTTTGTTTTGCAGTCTGGATACCAGTACAGCCCCAGGAAAATAAAGCACCAAGCAGATTGCTAAAACCTCTGATCCCAGGCCCTAGCTTCTGGATGGCATTTCTAGACCCACCCTGGGCCAGAAGGGAACCTGCTGCAATGAAGGGAAAGAGCCAGTCCTGACAAGACTTATCATCTGCTGACTACAGAGCCCTTGCGACATGAATAAACATTAGCAGTAGCCAGGAAATAGTCACTACAGGCCTTGGACAAGACCCATTGCTGTGCTGATGTCAGGTGTGATCCAGCACAGTCTCAGCAGTGGTGGCCACGGAAATGTTTTTGTTACCCCTCCACCAACTCCAGGCAGCTTCTCACAGAAAGAGAGAGACACAATTTGTTTGGAGGAAAATAAGGGAAGAGAACAACAGATTCTGCCTGATAATCCAGGAAATTCTCTAGGATCTTGCCCAATACCATCAAGGCAGTACCTCTACAAGTCTTTAAAAATTGTGGTGTTACTGAGCCTGGACTGCTCCTTAATACACATACAGCTGCTATGACCAAGGACTCAGGTCACAACACTCAATTCCTTTTGAATACTTGGAAAGCCTTCCCGAGAAGGATGAGTACAAACCAGCCCAGACCATAGAGATTACAATAAATATCTAACTCTTCAATGCCCAGGTATCAAGAAACATCCAAAAGCATCAAGACCATCCAGGAAAATATGACCTCACCAAATGAACTAAATAAGGCACCAGTGACCAATCCCACACTGATAGAGACATGTCACCTTTCAGACAAAGAATTCAAAATAGCTGTTTTGAGGAAGCATAATGAAATCCAAGATAATGCAGAGAAGGAATTCAGAATCTAATCAGATAAATATAAAAAGGAGGTTAAAATAATTAAAAAGAACCAAGCAGAAATTCTGGAGCTGAAAAAATGCAATTGACAAGGTGAAGAATATATCAGGGTTTCTAAACAGCAGAATAGTTCAAGTGCAGTAAATAATGAATGAGCTTGAAGACAGACTATTTGAAAATAAAGTCAGAGAAGTCAAAAAAAAAGGAATAAAAAATGATACACCATGCCTACAGGATCTAGAAAATAGCCTCAAAAGGGCAAATCTAAAAGTTATGGGCCTCAAAGAGGAGATAGAGAGAGAGATTAGGGTAGACAGTTTATTTGAATGGATAATAAAAAAGATATTTTCAAACCTGGGGAAAGATAACAATATTCAAGTACAAGAAGGTTGTAGAACACTAAGCAGATTTAACCCAAATGAAACTACCTCAGTAATTTGACAATTAAATTCCCAAAAGTCAAGGATCCTAACAGCAGCAAACCACACCACCACCCGCCCCCGCCGCCAAAAAAAACAAAAAACCTCTATAAAGGAAATCCAATACGTCTGGCAGTAGATTTCTCAATGGAAACCTTACAGGCCTGGTGAGAGTGGCATGAAATATTTAAAGTGCTCAAAAAAAGTTTTTTATAATATTGTATCCAGTGATTATATCCTTCAAACATGACTAATAAAGACTTTCCCAGACAAACAAAAGCTGAGGAATTTCATCAACACCAGATCTGTCCTACAAGAAATGCTAAAGTGAGTTATTCAAACTGAATTAAAAGGACATTAATGAGCAATAAGTAATCATCTAAGGGGGCTGGGCACAGTGTCTCACACCTGTAATCCCAGCACTTTGGGAGGCTGAGGCAAGTGGATCACCTGAGTTCAGGAGTTCAAGACCAGCCTGGCCAAAATAGTGAAACCCTGTCTCTACTAAAAACACAAAAATTAGCCAGGCGTGGTGGCGGGCACCTGTAATCCCAGCTACTCAGGAGGCTGAGGCAGGAGAATCCCTTAAACTCGGGAGGTGGAGGTTGCACTGAGCCAAGATCACACCATTGCACTCCAGCCTGGGTGGCAAACCAAGAATCCGTCTCAAAAAAAAAAAAAAGAAAGAAAATCATTTAAGGGTACAAAATTCACTGGTAACAGTAAGTGCAGAGATAAATACAGAAGATTATAACATTATAATTGTGGTGTGTAAACTACTTATATATTGAAAAAGAATTCAAAAAACTATAAAAATAAAAACGATAACTTTAAAAAATATAGACAGTATCATAAGACATAAATTGAAGCAACAAAAAGCTAAAAGGCAAGGGGGTGAAGTGTAGTTTTTGTTAGTTTTCTCTTTGCTTGTTTGTTATTTGTTTTTGTAGAGTTAAGTTGTCATCAGTTTAAAATAATGGGTTATAAGATGCTATTTGAAAGATTCAATAACCTTAAATTTAAAAACCTACAAAAGATACACCAAAAATATAAAGCAAAAACTTAAAACACCACCAGAGAAAATCACTTTCACAAAAAGGAAAACAGAAGAGAAGGAAGAAAGAAAATACCATGAAACAAGCAGAAAATAAATAACAAAATGGCAGTAGTTAAGTCTCTACTTACCTGTTCTGTAAATGGACTAAACTCTACATTCAAAAGACAGAGTAGCTGAATGCATAGAAAAATAAGACTCAGCAATCTGGTGCTTATAAGAAACACACTTCACCTATAAAGATGCGTATAGGCTGAAAATAAAGTGATGGAAAAAGATATTCCATGCAAATTGAAATGAAAAAAGAGCAGAAGTATCTACGTTTATATTACATAAAATAGATTTCAAGACAAAACTATAAAAGGAGACAAGATAATTCTATAATGATAAAGGGATTAACTGATCAAGAGGATATAAAAATTTAAACATATATGCATACAACACTGTAGCAACCAGATATATAAAGCACATCTTAGAGCTAAAGAGAGACAGAACCCAATACAAAAAAAGTTGTAGACTTCAACACTCTACTTTCAGCATTGGACAGCTCATCCAAACAGAAAATTAACAAACAAATATTGAACTTAATCTTCACTACAGACCAAATGAATACACTAAAAGAATACACATTCTTCTCCTCCATATGTGGATTACTCTCAAGAACAGACCACACGTTAGGCCACAGAACAAATCTTAAATAATTCAACAAACTTAAAATTATATCAAGTATCTTCTCTGACTATGAAATAAATCTAGACATTCATAGCCAGAGCAAATTGGGAAACCATAAAAACACACGGATATTAAACAATATGATCCTGAATGACCAGTGGGTCAATGAATAAATTAAAATTGAAATGTAAAAATTTCTGGAAACAAATAAAGTGGAAATGCAACATACCAAAACCTATGGGATACCGTGAGAGCAGTGCTAAGAGTAAAGTTTATAACAATAAGTGCTCGCATTTTAAAAAAGTAGAAAAAAATTCAAATGCACAACCAAATAATGAGTCTTAAAGAACTAGAAAAGCAAGGGCAAACCAAACTTAAAATCAGTAGAAGAAATGAAATAATAAAGATCAGAGTAGAGATAAATAAAATTGAAAAAAGTTACAAAAGATTACTGAAATGAAAAGTTGGTTTTGTAAAAAAAATAAACAAAATAGACAAACCTTTAGCCAGAGTAACTAAGACAAAAGAGAGAAGGGCCAAATAAATAAAATCACAGATGAAAATGGAGACACTAGAACTGATACCACAGAAATTCAAAGGATCATTAGAGAGTAGTATGAGCAACTACATGCCAATAAATTGGAAAACCTAGAAGAAATAGATAAATTCCTAGACACATACACCGTACCAAGGTTGAACTATGAAGAAATCCAAAACCTGAGTAGACCAAAAACATGTAATGAGAACAAAGCCATAATAAAAAAAAAGTCTCTTTGCAAAGAAAAGCCTGAGACTTTTCTTACGTAGAATACACTCCTGAATTCTACCAAACATTTAAAGAAGAACTAATACAAAATCTATGCAAAATATTCTGAAAAAAATAGAGAAGAAACTACTTCTGGGCTTATTCTGTGCAGTCAGTATTATCCTGATACCACAACCAGACAAAGAGACATAAAAAATACTACATATAGGCTGATATCTCTGATGAACATGATGCACAAATTCTCAACAAAATAATAGCAAATCAAATTCAACAACACATTCAAAAGATTATTCATCACAACCAAGTGAAATTCATCCCAAGGAATCAAGGCTGGTTCAATATACACAAAACAATCAACACGATACATCATGTCAACAGAATGAAGATAAAACCATTCAATCATTTTAACTGATGAGGAAAAAATATTTTATAAAATTCAACATTCCTTCACAATAAATGCTAAAAATATTGGGTATAGAAGAAACAAACTTCAATGCAATAAAAGCCATACTTAACAGACCTACACTAGTATCATACTAAATGAGGAAAACTGAAAGATTTTCCTCTAAGATCTGGAACAAGACAAGGATGCCCACTTTCACCACTGTTATTCAACATAGTACTGGAATACTAGCTAGAGCAACCAGACAAGAGAAGGAACTAAAAGGCATCCGAATGTGAAAAAAAAAAAAGTCAAATTATTCTTGTATGCAAATAAAATGAATTTATATTTGTGAAAACCTAAAGACTCCACCAATAAACTCTTAGAACTGATATGCAAATTCAGTAAAGTTGCAAAATACAAATTCAAAATACAAAAATCAGTAGCATGTCTATATGCCAAGAGTGAACAATCTAAAAAAGAAATTAAAAATTAACCCCACTTATTATGTTGATACCAAAGTAATTGTGGTTTTTATCATTGAAAGTAATGGCAAAAAATTGCAATTACTTTTGCATCAACCTAATACAATAGCCACAAATAAAATTAAATACCTAGGAATTAACCAAAGAAGTAAAAAGTCTCTACAATAGAACCTATAAAACATTGATGCAAAAAATTAAAGAAGGCACAAATAATCAAAAGATATTCCATGTTCATGGATTGAAAGAATCAATATTGTTAAATGTACATACTGCTCAAAACAATCTACAAATTCAACACAATACCTATCAAAATGCCAACAATATTCTTCACAGAAATAGAAAAAGCAATCTTAAAATTCATGTGGAACCATAAAAAGCCCAGAATATCTAAAGCCATCCTTAGCAAAAAGAACAAAACTGGAGGAATCACATTACCTGACTTCAAACTATATTACAGAATTTTAATAACCAAAACTGCATGGTAGTAACATAAAAACAGACACACAGACCAATAGAACAGAATAGACATCTCAGAAATCATACATCTTCAGTGAAGACATTTTTGACAAAGGTGCCAAGAATATATATTGGGGAAAAAACAGTTTCTTCAATACATGGTGCTGGGAAAACTAGATATCCATAGGCAGAACAATGAATCTAGACCCCTATCTCTTGCTGTATACAAAAATCAAACCAATATGGCTTAAAGACTTAAATTTAAGACCTCAAACTATAAAACTACTAAAAAATTGAGGAAACTCTCCAGGTCATTGGTCTAGTCAAAGATTTCTTGAGTAATATCCCAAAAGCACAGGCAATCAAAGCAAAAATGGACAAATGGGATCATATCAAGTTTAAAAGCTTCTGCACATCAAAGAAAACTATCAACAAAATGAAGAGGCAACCCATAGCATGGAAGAAAATATTTGCAACCTAATTATCTGACAAGGGGTTAATAACCAGAATATATTAAAAGCTCAAACACTCAATAGGAAAAAAAGGTAATAATCCAATTAAAAATGGGCAAACATCTGAATAGACATTTCTCAAAAAATACATACAAATGACAAGTGTATGAAAAAGTGCTCAACATCACTGATCATCAGAGAAATGCAAATCAAAACTACAGTGAGAATTAATTTCATCACAGTTAAAACAACTTCTATCCAAAATTTAGGCAATAATGAGTGCTGGTTACAGATGTGGAGCTCCATAATGGCTGTACTAAATAACATTTCTAATAACAGTATACAAAAATTACAACAGTTCACCTTGTGCACTGTTGGTGGAAATGTAAGTTAGTAGAGCCATTATGGAGAACAGTATGGAGTATCCTCAAAAAACAAAAAATAGAACTACCACATGATCCGGGAATTTCACCTCCTAGATGTATACCCAAGGGAAAGAAAATTAGTATTTTGAAGTGATATCTACATTCTCATGTTTTTTTGCAACACTATTCACAATAGTTAAGGTTCAGAATCAACCTAAGTGTCCATCGACAGATGAATGGATAAAGAAAATGGGAGACATATATACGATGGAGCCATAAAAGGAATGAAATGCTGTCATTCTCAACAACGTGGATAGAACTGCAGGACATTATGTTAAGAGAATTAAGCCAGGCACAGGAAGATAAACTTGTTGTCATGTTCTCACTCATTTGTGGGAGCTAAAAATTAAAACAATCGAACTCATGGAGATATACAGTAGAATGATGGTTAACAGAGAGTAGGAAGGGCATGACTGGGGGGATATGGGGAGGGTTAATGGGTACAAAAACATATTATAGCTAGACACAATGCATAAGATCTCATATTTGATCTTATTCATAACAAGGTTGCAAAAGGTGATTAGAGTCAGAAATAATTTTTGTACATTTTAGAGTAACTGTGGAAGTACAATTGCAATGTTTATAATACAAATAATTGTTGAATGTTTGAGGCGACGGACACCCCATTTACCCTGATGTGATTATTACACATTGTATGCCTGTATCAAAATAGCTCACATACCACATAAATAAATATATATATATATACTATGTACCCATAAAAATATAAAATAAAAAACTTTTCAATTCCACATGATATCTGAGATGATCTTTTTTTCTGTTAGTCTTAATGCTTTCTCTGTGAAGTGGTGAGCTGGGACTTGTCAAAGTCTTCATTTGGATGAAGGAAGATACATGATATGTTTATATTACCAAGAGACCCAAGTAGACTCCAACCAGCAGGGACGATAAAAGCAGAATCCAGAGCCTCATGATTTTTTCATGGTCATTGCATTTCCAGCTCATAATTTAGATCTTAATCTCCTGGGCTAGCCTAGAAAGGAAAACTTGCTCAAAGCTTTCACAACTTACATTAATTTGGATTTCCCAAGAAGCAGACCTTCAGAAAAAACATTTGTATTCAAGCCATTTAATATTAAGATCTAAGGAAACATGAATAGTAGAGCAGGGAACTGACTCAAGGAATAGGAGGCAGTGAATAAAAGATATTCTATTAATCCATTTATCATAGTGGTAACTAGAGCTTCACCCACAGAGAAACTCTCTCTCCCCTTTCACCAAGATGTGAAGGAGATGGGGAGATGGGGTGTTTATGTGTTCACTTTTAGTCATTGATTCTTTACTGCTTCCATGGATATTAATCCCAGAGTACTTTTGATCTGCCACTCATACAGGCAAAACAGACTTCACAGTTCCTGAAGGGGGAAACAATATCACACAAAGAGATGCAGATGCCAGCAGCTGGAAATCAACTGAAGCACACTAACAGATCCAAAGAATATAAACTGGTCACTGACAACAATAACAATCTCTCTAAAGTTACCAAGAGTTCTTTTATAAGTTCAAGCCCTGTTTGGAGAATTAAAGACACATCCCAAGTGCTGACACCAAGTACTATTATAAACTATTTGACCTTTCCCAAGACTCTTGCTAACTCCTAGAACCTAATACACTGCTTAAGGTCTATCCTGCAAAAGCAAGTATGTATTGAAAAATATCCTAAAACACTTACTGAAGAGAAGTGTGTCTTAAGTACTGTGTAAGAGCTGTCTCCATTCACAAAGCATATCCTAGTAATCTACTGAGAATTGATTTGATTTATTATTTCAACAAATTGACAATTAAGATAAATCAACAAGCACAAGTATAAACAAATTATGAAAGGAAGTACAGGGAATAATATAAAATAAACTTTTCTGGTATCATTTTTAAAATGTCAAGTTGAGGCACTAACTTGAACATGGGACCTATACTTCCTAGCTTTACTGAGGTACAATGAATGAATTTTATGAAATTTTAAGAATTAGCTTTCTTCTCTCTGCTATCTTTTCTCCCATTTACTTAGTCCCTTCTCCTTTTGGAGTATTTTCCATAATCTAACCAGAATGTTAATCTGGAAATTTTCCAGTGTTCATTTACAGGTCACATTTGCAGATTTTGGTTTGATTTGTAATATTAGGAAAACAAAACAGTCACTCAACATATTCATTTCTAACACCAGATCCTTCAGTGGCTGCCAACTGGGTATTCTACAATGACCTCAATTCTGCTACTATCTACTTGGAGACCAGCAGATCTCTGGTTAAGAGCTCAATCCCTCAAACTGCTCCCCACTTCAAGGCCAAACACAAGCCCCAAGTGTGGCCTGCATTTCTGACTGACTATTCATCAGAGTTTTCACATCTCCTACTCAAGTTTAATTAATTTGCTAGAACAGCTTGCAGAACTCAGGGAAACACTATACTTATGTTTATCCATTTACTATAAAGAATATTATGAAAGATACAGATGAATAGCCGGCTGGAAAAGATACATAGTGCAAGGTATAGGGGTGGGTGTGCTGCTGTGCACAGAATGGAGCTTCCATGTCTTTATTCCAAATCCTGTTTCTGAGTATCTATGAAGGCTTCATTATGTAGGCATTACTGATTAAATCATTAACCATTTTTGATCAACTCCACTTTCATTCCCTCTCCCCTTCCCAGATAGTGTAGATTAATACTGTTATTGCATGAAAGTGTTAGTTATTGTGGAAGTGGGTTCCTAATAAAAGAATAAATTTGGCCCCCTTTCCTCTCTTGTTCCCTTGCCATGTGATGCCTTTCCCCATGTTCTGATGCAGCAAGAAGGCCCTCGCTAAATGCAACCCCCTTCACTTTGGACTTTTCAGCCTCCAGAACCATGAGCCAAATACATTTCTATTGCTTATAAGTTACCCAGCCATGTTATTCTGTTATAGCAGTACAAAACAGGCTAAGACATCAGATACACAGTTTGCAAATAATTTCTTCCATTCCATAGGTTGCCTGTTGACCCTATTGATTGTTTGCTTTGCTGTGAGAAAGCTTTTTAGTTTGATGCAGCCTGATTTTTTTTCTAGTCTATACTTTTGGTGTTATAGCCACAAAATCATTGCCAAGACTAACGTCATGAAACTTTCCCCCCAAGTTGTCTGCTCAGTATCACTAATCATCAGGGAAATTCAAATCAAAATCACAATGACATATCAACTCTCACCTGTTGAGATGGCTATTATTAAATAAAACAAACAACAACAACAAAAATCTACAACTAGTCTTGGCAAGGATGCGGAGAAATTGGAACCCTTGTACACAGTTGGTGGAAACGTAAAATGCTACAGCTGCTGTGAAAAATAATATGCAGGTTTCTCAAAAAATATTAAAATAGGACTACCATGTGATCCAGGGATTCCACTTCTGGATGTTTATCCAAAAAAATTAAAATCAGGATCTCAAAAAGATATTAACACTTCCATGTTTACCGCAGTACTATTTACAATGGTCAATATGTGGGAACAGCCTAGGTGTTAATTGACAGATGAATGTATTAAAAAGTTGTGGTATATGCATATAATGAAATATTAGATAGCCTTAATAAAGAAGAAAATCCTGAAATATTCAACAACATCAATCTTTAGGACATTATGCTAAGCGAAAGAGTCCAATCACAGAGGACAAATATTGCATGATTTCATTTATATGAAGTTATCTAAAATAGTCAATCTCATAAAAGAAAATAGTAGACTAGTGGTAGCCAGTGGCCAGGATGGTGGTATGTAGAGGTACTAATTACTGGGTATAAAATTTTAGTTATACAAGATAAGTTCTAGAGATTTTCTGTAGAACATTGTTTCTATAGATAATACTATATTGTACTTTTAAAATCTGCTAATTGGGTACGTACCTCGTAAAGTGTTCTTGCCACAATTAAAAAGAAAATCTCTACTTGATTTGCTGCAATATTCACTCTGAAGATCCCTCAGAAACCCAAAGTGTATAAAATTATTAACAAAAATGTTCTCCGGGAAAAAAAAATCTCTTGCTTTACATGGAACAATAAATTGTCCTCGTTCGCAACTAACTGCTTCTAGGCATCCCTGGATTTCGATGAAATCTCTAAGGTAACCTCTTCAGAAGATACCAGCTGCTTTTTGTCTCTTTTGGAATTTGTTACATAATGGCTGCCATTTTGGAGGAGATCCCAGAGGCATTGTTTTGGTTACCAAAGATGTGCCTCCTTCAGGAAAAGGAAACACTCTAATTTAACTATGTATCTTGCATTAAAGATAGTTGAAGCAGAACTTCTTTCTGAATACAAAATGAAGTCCATTAGCTACTCATTTCAAGCTGACTTGAGTCTTTCAAATTTCTATTTTAATGTGAAACACATTTCTGAACGTTATTGATATTCTATTTATGTTTTGAATTCTATATAAGTTTCTAAAAGCGCAAAACTGCTGTGAAGTATCTCTTTTTCTTAGGTACATATTTGAAAAGCATGCAGGGGTCAGAGGAATAAATTTCATGGGTCCTTCTCTGAAAGATTTCAAGGGAAATTCTTCTCTCAAATATCTGAATAGTCGGAGGATGTCTTAGCCAGAATATAATCAATGAACATGACATAAAATGATAGTCAAATTTTCTGTAATATCCTGAAGAGAACAATATGATATAAAACTAAATTTTAATTCTTTATAGAAATCATATTACAAAAGGCTGTGTTATATATCTGGTATTATGAAAAATAACAGAATTTTAAACAGAATTTTTAAAGGCCTATGCAATATTTTACCTGAATGTTCCACTGGCATTGCAAGTTCAAGTTTGAAGTAAAATTAACAATCTTCACTGTGAACATATCATTACTTCTAAAAATAAATAAAACAATATGTTTGTGAATCTATATGTTTATTTAAGATGTCAATATCCTTTCAATTACCCAGACTGAGAAAGTTGGAATTATGTTTTACTTTTTTCTCTTTCTTGGCCCCCAAGCCAAATGAGCTTCATGACCCCACAATTCTAGTCTGCATTAATTTGTACAATATTTTTCTCTTATTTATTTCATTGCTACTGCTATAATTGAGGTATTCCTTATTTCAAAAAAATTTAAAACGATATTTTTATTGTGGTTCATTATAAAAAAAAGTGTATACTTCTGAGAACATTTGTACAACATAGAAAAGAGGGAAATAAAATAATTCATTTTCACAGTCAAGAATTAAGGGACAGGTATTATGATAGTTAATTTTCTTTCAGCCCTGTGTGTGCCTATACAGTATTTTTAATGATAGTATAATATTACATACTGTGAGTGTGCCAACATTTATTTAACCATTTCCCTATTACAGGACCATTACCCTTTATAGTCTATGTTGTTAAAATTGACAATATTATACATGCAAAATATCCACATCTCTATTTATGTCCCATATCTGGATCCCTAGAAGTAGAATAAATTGATAAGAACATAAACTATTTTATTACATTCTTTTATTTTTAATTTCTACTTTCTTTAAATTGTTTCTTTTGTTTTTCTGAAGAAAATAGTTATACATCTAGAATTTACTTTGGTGTATAATTTGCGTCTTTTTTAAAGAGTGAAATTCTTCTGTTTTTTCAGTAATTGTTTTTTATGACATTTTGTATATTATGCATGTATTTATTAACGGTGCTATTTTATGAGTGTCTTAGTCCATTTTGTGCTAATAGAATACCTGAGAATACCTTATGAGGAACAGAAATCTATTTCTTACAGTTCCGGAGCCTGGTAAGTCAAAGGTAAAAAACCTGCATCTGGTGAGGGTCTTCTTACTGCAGCCCCACATGGCAGAAGATGGAAGGGGTAAAACCTACTCCTGCAAGCCCTTTTTATAGTGGCATTAATCCGTTCATTAAGACAGTGTTCTCGTGACCTAAGCATCTCCCATTAGGCCCCACTTCCAAACACTGTTGTAGTAGGGATTACGTTTCTAAAGCATGAATTTTGTAGAACATTTTAGACCACAAAGCATACAGACCTTGAGTAGACATTTGAGTTAGTTGATCTGCCTGTCCATTATTAAAAACATATTGCATCATTTTGTTGATATTTACTAAAAATATGTTTTAGTATTTGGTAGGAAAATTATCTTCCTAATTTGTTTTTTACTATTTAAAATACTTTCTCATTTATTTACTTTTCCGGATTATTTTGGAATCCTTCTGTCATGTATAGGGATAAGAAAAAAATTATATTAAGAATTTTTTTGAAAGTAGACTTTAGTTTTTGGAGCAGTTTTAGGTTCACAGAAAAACTGAGCAGAAAACACAGAGTTCTGATATACCAACTGTACCCATAAATGTACACCTTCCCTCACCATCAATATCCTGCACCAAAGTGAAACACTTGTTAAAATCAATTAAACCTACATTCACACATCATTACCCAAAGTCCATACTTTAGAGTTCATTCAGAGTGTTGTACATTCTATGGGTTTGGACCAGTGGATAATGACATCTAACCACCATTATGGTGTAATACATAATAGTTTCATGAATCTAAAATCTTCTATTCTCTGCCTTTTCATTCCTGCAGGCTCTCTGACCCCTTGGCAACCACTCATCTTTTCACTATGTCCGTAGTTTTGCCTTTTCCAAAATGTCACATAGTTCTAATCATGCAGAATGCAGCCTTTTCAGATTGCCTTTTCTCACATGGTAATTTGTATTCAAGATTATTTCATGTATTTTTGTGGATTGATAGCTCATTTCTTTTCAGCACTGAAAAATATTCCATCGTCTAGTTGTGTCAGTTTATTTATCTATCCGTCTACTGAAGAAAATCATGATTGCTTCCAAGTTTTGGTAATTCTGAATAAAGTTGCTATAAACATTCTTGTATCCTGCAAACTTTCTGAATTCATTTATTATTTCTAATAATTTTTAATAGACCATGTAGTTATGTAAAAGATCATGTCACATATTTTTCCTCTTCTCTATTGTATTTAATTCTGCTATAATCTTATTTCCTTCTTTCTGCTTGCTTTGGGCTTAGTTTGCTCTTTTTTTTTCTAGTTTCTTTCTTTTTTTTTTTTGGACTGAACCATATTGTATTCACCAACAATAAATGAGAGCTCCTGTTGCCACACACCCTTGCCAGCATTTAGTATATCAGTTTTTTGGACTTCAGTCATTCTAATGGGTGTGTAGTGGTATCTCATTGTTGTTGTTTTTTAATTTTTATTTTATTTCCACAGGTCATTAGGGAACAGGTGGCGTTTGGTTACATAAGTTCTTTAGTGGTGATTTGTGAGATTTTGGTGCACCCATCACCTGAGCAGCATAAATTGCACCCTATTTGTGTGTAGTCTTTTATTCCTCACCCCCTTCCCATCCCTTCCCTCTGATACCCCAAAGTCCGTGGTGTCATTCTTATGCCTTTGCATCCTCACATCTTAGCTCCCACTTATGAGTGAGAACATATGATGTTTGGTTTTTCATTCCTGAGTTACTCCACTTAGAATAATAGTCTCCAATTTCATCTAGGTTACTGCAAATGCCATTAATTCATCCCTTCTTATAGCTGAGTAGTATTCCATTGTATGTATGTATATATATATATATATACCACAGTTTCTTTATCCACTCATTGATTCGTGGGCATTTGGGTTGATTCCAAATTTTTGCAATTGCAAATTGCACTGCTATAAACATGCATGGACAAGTATATTTTTCATATAATGACTTATTTTCCTCTAGGTAGATACCCAGTAGTGGGATTGCTGGATCAAATAGTAGTTCTACTTTTAGTTCTTTAAGGAATCTCCACACTGTTTTTTATAGTAGTTGTACTAGTTTATATTCCCACCAGCAGTGTAGAAATGTTCCATGTTCACTGCATCCATGTCAACATCTACTATTTTTTTATCTTTTGATTATGGCCATTCTTGCAGGAGTAAGATGGTATCACATAGTGGTTTTGATTTGCATTTCCCTGATCACTAGTGATGTTGAGCATTTTTTCATATGTTTGTTGGCCATTTGTGTATCTTCTTTAAAGAATTGTCTATTCATGTCCTCAGCCCACTTTTTGATGGGATTGTTTGTTTGTTTTTCTTGTTGATTTATTCGAGTTTATTGTAGACATTGGATATTAGTCATTTGTCAGATGTATAGATTGTGAAGACTTTTTCCCACTCTGTGGGTTGTCTGTTTACTCTGCTCACTGTTCCTTTTGCCATGCAAAAGCTCTTTAGTTTACTTAAGTCCCATCGATTTATCTTTGTTTTTATTGCAGTTGCTTTTGGGTTCTTGGTCATAAAATCCTGGCCTAAGCCAATGTCTAGAAGGGATTTTTCCAATGTTATCTTCTAGAATTTTTATAGTTTCAGGTATTAGATTTAAGTCCTTAATCCATCTTGAGCTGATTTTTAAGGTGAGAGATGACGATCCAGCTTCATTCTTCTACATGTGGCTAGTCAATTATCCCAGCACCATTTGTTTAAAAGGGTGTCCTTTCTCCACTTTATATTTTCATTGATTTGTTGAAGATCTGTTCACTGTAAGTATTTGAGTTTATTTCTGAGTTCTCTATTCTGTTCCATTGGTCTATCTGCCTATTTTTATACCAGTACCATGCTGTTTTGGTGACGATGGCCTTTTAAGTATAGTTTGAAATCAGGTAGTTGATGCCTCCAAATCTGTTCTTTTCGCTTAGTCTTGCTTTGGCTATGCAGGCTCTTTTTTGGCTCCATATACATTTTGGAATTGTTTTTTCTAATTCTGTGAAGAATGATGGTGGCATTTCGATGGGAATTGCACTGAATTTGTAGATTGCTTTTGGCAGTATGGTCAATTTCATAATACTTATTCTACCCATCCATGAGCATGGAGTGTGTTTCCATTTGTTCATGTCATCTGTGATTTCTTTCAACAGTGTTTTGTAGTTTTCCTTGTAGAGGTCTTTTACTTCCTTTGTTAGGTATATTCCTAATTATTATTTTTTTGCAGCTATTGTAAACAGGGTTGAGTTCTTGATTTGATTCTCAGCTTGGTCGCTGTTGGTGTATAGAGGAGCTACTAATTTGTGTACATTAATTTTGTATCTGGAAACTTTGCTGATTTTTAAAAAATCAGTTCTAGGAACTTTTTGGAGGAATCTTTATAGTTTTCCAAGTAACAATCATATCATCAGCAAACAGTGGCAGTTTGACTTTCTCTTTACTGATTTGGATGCCTTTTATATCTTTCTCTTATCTGATTGCTCTGGCTAGGACTTTCAGTACTATGTTGAAGAGGAGTGGTGAGAGTGGACATCCTTGTCTTGTTCCAGTTCTCGGAGGGAATGCTCTCAATTTTTCCTCATTCAGTATTATGTTGGCTGTGTGTTTGTCATACACGGCTTTTATTATATTGAAATATGTCTCTTGTTTGCTAACTTCCCTTGTAATTACTTCTAGACCTATTTTTATTTAGAAGTATGTTTTTAAATTTCCATGTATTTGTAAATTTCCATGTATTTGTAAATTTCTCAGGCTTTTGCTTTTATGTCTTTCTAATTTAACTGTATTGTGGCCAGAAAAGTTTAATTTTATCCCAGGTCTCCATATACCTAATTTTTTGTCTAAATTTTCCTCAAAGTTCTTGCTGAGGTTCTGTAGTTTAGATCAATCTGTGATTTTATTGTCTCAGCTATTAAGCCTATTATTACTATAATCATATCCAGTCTTCACTGAACCATAAGTAGTCACAAAATATATTTCCTCTTTCTATTCTGTTCACTATTCAATCCACTGGTAAATCATAATTCAATTTTTCTTTCTGAACAGGGCAATCAGCTTCCGTATTTCAGTCCTAAAATGTATCAATAGCTCTTCACAGCCCTAACCAAATACTCTGGCATTCAATGATTTTTAACAATATGGACCCCAGCTTCACTTTGTGCTGTATTATATATTCTTTCTCTTCACACAATTTCCACTGGAGTGGAGCTGGATCCCTCTTTGTCTTTCTAATATACTTAAGATTCATTAGTTTTCTTCCCAATAAATGGTCCTCCTGCTTATGAATCCTTGTCTATGTCTTCCCTTCCTGCTGATATGGGTTTCTCCCTCCATCTTTTAAGGTTTAAATTTCATTATTCTCCAAGACCAATGCAAGACCCATTACTATGGGTTCTTATTCGATTACCATCCAACATCTCCTCATTCTTTTGAAGTTTTATGGCATTTATTTTTCTGTTGCCATTACTATTTTCTTTCACTAATTTTCCAAGTGTGGACATAGCATCTTCTCATCTAGATCGTGAACTGTAGATGCAAAGGTGGCGGAAACTTCATTTGTACTTGTTATTGAGAAGATACTGAATGTACATACATTTCTTAATGCTTATATCTATTCAACAGGTAGTCATTAAATATCAACAATCTATGAGGTTACCCACTAATGAAAAATATCTTGACTAATATTCTCCAAGTGTTTTGATTTGTGGAACTATTGCTCCAAGTTTATTTTTAATATATTTTTTCTTAACAATTTCGCTGAAGTATAACAAATGAAATTCAAAATCTAATCCCATTTACAGCAGCATCAAAAATAAAAATAAAAAATATTGGGACAAACCCAAATAAGGAAGTAGGAGATTTGTACACTGAAAACTATAAAACATTGGATGGAAGAAATTTTAAAAGACACAAAATGGAAAATAATCTGTGTTCATGGACTAGAAGGCTTACTATTATTAAAACGTTCACACTACCCAAAACAATTTACAAATTCAGTGATATCCCCAACAAAATTTCAGTAGTATTTTTGAGAAATGTAAAAATGAATTATAAAATTTTATAGAAATGTAAAAGACCAAAAATAACAAAAATGATCTTAAGGAAGAAGAAAAAACAAAGCTTCTTGTACCTTTCAACAATATTATTTAATTTTTAATTTTTTAAATTTGTGCTCATTCATAGTGTACATGGGAAAGTTTTACATGTATATAATGCATAGTGATCAAGTCAGGGTATTTAGGGAGTTCATCGCCTGAATACAATATATATTTTTTAGTACAGTCATCTTACTCTGCTATCAAACATTGAATGTATTTCTTCTATCTTACTGTGTGTTTATATCCTTTAACTCACTTCTGTCTACCTTCCCTCATTCCCCACTTACCCTTCCCATTCTGTTATCTATTTTTCCACTCTGTGTGTGTGTGTGTGTGCGTGTGTATATATATATATATATATATATATATATATATATATATGGAATTGTGTGTATATATACACAATAGATATATATATAATTCATATATACATTATAAATGGAATTGCTCTTTCTATATATGTATATGCAGATAGATATATAGATATATCACATATCACATTTTCTCTATATATTCATCTATTAATGGACACTAAGATTGATTCCAAATTTTGCAATTGTGAATAGTACTGCAATAAACATTCAAGTATATCTTTGATAAACATTCAAGTATATCTTTTACTTCAAAGTATATCTTTGATGTATTGATTTATTTGCCTTTGGGTAGATACCCACTAGTGGGACTGCTGGATTGAACGGTAATTTTTAGTCTTCTGGGAAATCTTCATACTGTTTGCAATAGTGGCTATATTTTTTTATATTCTCACTAACAGTGTATAGTAGTTACCTTTTCTCTGCATCCTTACCAACATCTGGGTTTTTTTTGTTTTGTCTTTTTAATATGAACCATTCTGACTGGAGTAAGATGTTTATCTCATTGTAGTTTTAATTTGCATTTCTCTGAAGATTAGTGGTGTTAAGCGTTGTTGTGTCACTGTCAGCCATTTTTAAGTCTTTTGAGAAATGTCTATTCATCTCCTTTGCCCACTTTTTAATGGGATTATTTGTGTGTGTGTTTTTTTCCTGTTGAGTTGTTTGAATTCCTTGTATATTCTGGATATTGGTTTATTGAAGGATGAATAATTTGCAAATATTTTCTTCCATTCAGCAGGTTGTCTCTTCACTCTGTTGAATTTCTTCCTGCTGTACAGAAGCTTTTAAGGCCCGTTTATTTGTTGTTTCTCTTGCACTAAATTTATTGCCTAGACCAATACCCAGAAGAGTATTCTGCAGATTTTCTTCTATTAGTGTTATAATTTCAGGTCTTATGATTAAGTCTTTAATCCACTTTGAGCTGATTTTTTATATGATAGAGACAAGGGTCCAGTTTTATTCTTCAGCATGTGGCTGTACAATTTTCCCAGCACCCTATATTGAAAAAAGGTGTCCTTTCTCCAAGGTAAATTCTTGTTGGTTTTGTCAAAAATCAGTTGACTGTAAATGTGTGGTTTATTTCTGGGTCTCTATTCCATTCCATTGGTCTATGTGTCAATTTTTGTAGCAATACTAAGCTATTTTGGTGACTGTAGCCTTGTAATATATGTTGAAGCAGTAATGTGATTCCTACAGCATTGTCCTTTTTCCTCAGGATTGCTTTGGCTATTCAGGCTCCTTTTTGATTCCTTATGAATTTTAGGAATTTTTTTCTATTTCTGTGAAGAATGACACTGGTATTTTGATATAGAATGCATTAAATTTGTATATTGTTTTGTGCAATATGGTCATTTAAATGATAGTAATTCTTCCTGTTCATGAGCATGGGTTGTTTTTCCATTTCTATGTGTCCTCTTCAATTTCTTTCATCAGTGTTTTGTAGTTTTTTGCTCTAACTAGGACTTCCAGTATTATTGAGTAGGAGTGCTAAAAGTCTGCATTCTTATCTTCTTTTCTGTTCTTAGAGGAAGAGTTTTCAACTTTTTCCATTCATAGTGATGTTAGCTGTGGGTTTGTAATGTATGGACTTTATTATTTTGAGATATGTTCCTTCTATGCCTAGTCTGTTGAGAGTTTTATCATGAAGTGATGTTTAATTTTAGCAAATGTTTTTTCTGCACCTATTGAGATGATCATATTTTTTCTCCTTCATTGTGTTTATGTGATGTATGATTTCAAATTTATTAATTTGCATATGTAGAATCATCCTTGTATTTCTATTATAAATTCTAGCTGATCGTGGTACATAATCTTTATGATGTGCTGTTTGATTCTATTTGCTAGTATTTTGTTGCTGGTATTTTGCATTTTTGTCCATCAGGGAGATGGGCCCGTAGTTTTCTTTCGTTGTTGTGATCTTGCTTGTTTTGGTATAGGGTAATGCTAGCCTCATAGAGTGAGTTAGGGATAATTCTCCTATTTTTGATTTTTTGGAATAGCTTCAAGAGGATTTGTATTAGTTCTTCTTTGCATGTTTTGTAGAATTCAGCTATGAATCCATCTAGTCTTGGGCTTTTCTTTGTTGGGAGACATTTTATGATTGATTATATCTTGCTGTTAATTATTGGTCTGTTCAGATTTTCTATTTCTTCCTGATTCAATCTTGGTGGGTGATATGTGTCCAGGAATTTGTCCATTTCCTCAAGGCTTTCCAGTTTGTCATTGTATAGTTATTCATAACAGTCTCTGATGATTTTTTGTATTTCTGTGGTATCAGTTGTAATATCTCCATTTTCATTTCTCATTTTATTTGAGTATTCTCTCTTCTTGGTGGTCTACCTAGCAGTTTATCAATTTTGTTTATCATTTAGGAGAACCAATTTTTCATTTAATTGATCCTTTGTATTATGTTTCAGTCTGTACATCATTTAGTTCTCCTCTGACCTTTATTGTTTCTTTCATCTGTTAACTTGTGGTATAGTTTGTTCTTGCTTTTCTAGTTCCTTGAGGTGTATTGTTACTGTTAATTTGTAATCTTTCTACTTTTTTGATACAGACATTGATTGCTAAACTTCCCTATTAGCACTACTTTTGCTGTAATTTCACAGGTATTGGCATGCTGTGTTTTCATTTTTATTTGTTTCAAATAAAACAATTTTTTGATTACTGTCTTAATTTGTTGATCCAATGATTATTTATGAACATGTTTTTTAATTTCCATTTTTTATAGTTTCCAGAATTCCTCTTGATATTGGTTACTCGTTTTATTCCATTGTCACTTAAGAAGATACTTGATATGATTTTGACATTTTAAAACATGCTTAGACTTGTTTTGTGGCCTAACATATGGTTTGTCCTATAGAATGTTTCATATGTTGATGAAAAGAAGGTATATTTTGCAGTTGTTGGATAGAATATTCTGTAAATGTCTGTTAAATCCACTTGATCTAAATTTCAGCTTGGGAATGACTTTCTCCTTCATTTGTGACGAGTAATTTTGCTGACTGTGATGTCCTTTTTTTTTTCCTTGACTGTGATGTTCTTGGGTGGCAGTGTTTTTTTGTTTGTTTGTTCTTTCAGCACTTTAAATATATTGTTTCATTCTCTTCTTGCCTGCAAGGTTTCTGCTGAGAAATTCACTGTTAGTCTGATGGAGTTTCCTTTATAGGTGATTCAATGCTTTTCTCTTGCTGGTTTTAGGGTTTGCTCTTTAACTTTTAATTGAAACAGTCTGATTATAATGTGACATGGGGAAGAACTTTTTGCTCTGTATCTCCCTGGGGATTATTGAGTTTTCTGTATTAAATGCCTAAATCTCTTTCTAGGCTTGGGAAGTTTTTACCTATTATTTTGTTTTTTAGATTTCTAATCTTTTCTTTTTTTTCTTTGCCCTTAAGTGTACTGATAATTTATGAATTTGTCCACCTTATGCTGTCTCAAATGTCATGAAGCCTTTGCTCACTTGTTTTCTCTTTATTTTTGTCAGACTGTAGATTATTTAAAAAGGCCTGTCTTCAGTTCTGAGATTCTTTCTTCTGTGTGATCTAGTATAATGTTGAAGCTTCCAAATGTATTTCTTATTTCCTTCAATTAATTCTTCAGTTCCAGAACTTCTATTTCGTTCTTTTTTAAAATGTCCATCTGTTTGGTAAATTTCTTATCTGTATCCTGAATTGTTCTTTTTAATTTCTTTGTGTAATTTTTCAAAATTGTCTTGTATCTCACTGAACTTCTTTAAAGTCAATATTTTAGGTTCTTTCTTTAATCTGTTTTTTTTTAGAGACAGAGTCTCAATCTGTCACCCAGGCTGGAAAGCAGTGGTGCCAATATAGCTCACTGCAGCTTCAAATTCCTGGATCAAACAATCGTCTCACCTCAGCTTTCCAAGGGACTGCAGGCCACTGCACCCAGACAAAATGAATATTTTGAATTTTGTACTTGAAATTTCAAAAACTCCTTTTTGACTAAGATCCTTTGCTGGAGAATTATTGTTCCTTTGGAGATGTTGTATTTTATTGGAAACTTTTTCATGTTTCCTGTGTCCTTATGTTGTTATCTGTGCATCTAGTATAACAATCACTTATTCCCATTTTTGAATTTGTTTTCATAGGGGAGGACTTTTTCAGGAAAATGTGTTTGTTCAGTAGGGTACTTTAGTTTTGTCTCTGGGAGAAAACAGTAGTGTAGTCTCTGTATGGTTGCTTTGCTGTAAACAGTGTTATTGGTATCTGAATTCTTCAGGAGTTTAGGCTGCATTCAATAGTGGAGGTTGTGATGAATAACTGGAATAAATCCCATGACTCATGGCATATAATTATTTTCATATATCATTAGATTCAATTTCCCAATATTTTGTTAGAAATTTTTGCATCTGCCGGGCACGGTGTCTCATGCCTGTAATCCCAGCACTTTGGGAGGCCGAGGCGGGTGGCTCACAAGGTCAAGAGATCGAGACCATCCTGGCTAACACGGTGAAACCCCGTCTCTACTCAAAATACAAAAAATTAGCCAGGCGTGGTGGCGGGCACCTGTAATCCTAGCTACTCTGGAGGCAGAGACTGGAGATTGGCGTGAACTCAGGAGGTGGAGGTTGCAGTGAGCCGAGATCGCGCCACTGCATTCCAGCCTGGGCAACCGAGGGAGACTCTGTCTCAAGAAGAAAAAAAAAAGAAATTTTTGCATCTATGCTTATGATACATATTGTGTGTGTGTGTGTGTGTGTGTGTGTGTGTGTTTCCTTGTAATGTCTTTGCCTGATTTTGGTATTAGAGTGATGCTGGCCTCCTGAAATAAATTACGAAGTATCTCCTTTACTTCAATTTTCTGCAAGAGATTATAGAGAGTTGCTAAACTCTCTTCCTTAAATATGTGATAAATTTCACCTGTAAACTCAGCATGACTTGACATTTTCTTTTTTGGAAAACTGTTAATTATTAATTCAATTTTTATATATATATGTATTCATGTTATCTATTTCCTTTTGTGTACGTTTTGGTAAATTATGGGTTTTTTTGTTTTGTTTTGTTTTGTTTTCTTTTGTTTTGTTTGAGACGGAGTCTGTCCCTGTCACCCAGGCTGGAGTGCAATGGCACAATCTCGGCTCACTGCAACTCTGCCTCCTGGATTCAAACAATTCTCCTGTCTCAGCCTCCTGAGTAGCTGGGATTATAGGCACCCACCACCACACCCAGCTAATTTTTGTGTGTACATATATATATATATATATATATACACACACACACACATACACACACACACATATGTACACACATATATATACACACACACACACACACACACACACATATATATATATATATACTTTTTTTTTTAGTAGAGACGGGGTTTCACTATGTTGGCCAGGCTGGTCTCAAACTCCTGACCTCGTGATCCACCCGCCTTGGCCTCTCAAAGTGCTGGGATTACAAGTGTCAGCCACCGAGCTCGGCCATAAATTATGTTTTTTAAGCAATAGTTTCATTTCATTTAGGTTATCAAATTAGTAGGCATGAAGATTTTACTCTTTTTATGTCCATGGGATCAGTGGTGATGAACTCTATTTCATTTCTTATATCAGTAATTTGTATCGTCTCTATTTTTTTCTTCATTATACCAGCTAGAGGTCTATTAATTGTATTGATCTTTTCAAATAATGAGTCTTTAGTTTTGTTGATGCTCTCTATTGTTTTCCTAGTTTCAATTTCATTGATTGCTTCTCTAATTTTTATTATTTGTTTTCTTCTGCTTGCTTCATTTTTTTTTTTTTTTTTTTTTTGAGACGGCGTCTCGCTCTGTCGCCCAGGCTGGAGTGCAGTGGCGGGATCTCGGCTCACTGCAAGCTCCGCCTCCCGGGTTCACGCCATTCTCCTGCCTCAGCCTCCCAAGTAGCGGGACTACAGGCGCCTGCCACTACGCCTGGCTAATTTTTTGTATTTTTAGTAGAGACGGGGTTTCACCGTTTTAGCCGGGATGGTCTCGATCTCCTGACCTCGTGATCCGCCCGCCTCGGCCTCCCAAAGTGCTGGGATTACAGGCGTGAGCCACCGCGCCCGGCCGCTTGCTTCATTTTTAAATTGCTTTTTTTTTAGTTTCCTAAGTTGCAAACGTAGGTTATTCATTTTAGATTTTTTTCTTTTCTCACATATTCATTCAATGCTATAAATTTTCCTCACAGCACTGTTTTCACTGTATGCCACAAGTTATGATAAGAGGTATTCTTATTTAGTTCAAAATATTTTAAAGTTTTCTTGAGATTTCTTCTTTGATCCATGTGTTATTTAGAAGTATGTTGTTTAATTTCTAAGTATTTTACAATTTTCCAGCTGTATTTCTGTTATTGATTTTTAGTTTAATTCCATTGTGAGCTGAAAGCAAACTTTATACAATTTCCATCTTTAAATTTGTTGACTTGTGTTTATGGCCAGAATGTAGTCTATCTTGGTGAATGCTGTATGTGAACTTGATAAGAATATGTGTTATACTGTTAATGGGTAAAATATTCTATAAATACCTCTTATATATATTTATAAATATATAGTCTGTTATAATATATAGTAGCAGACAGTGATGATTATAATATACTATCATAAGAAACTTAGGTCAAGAAGGAAGATTCATGGGTCATATAGTTTTATTGAAGAAAGTATTAAGAAATCAAGCAATTGCACTTCTGCGTGAAGAATATTTTGGGATATTATAAAGGAACAAAGAGAATATACTTTACAAGGCCAGTGGCATTCAAAATAAGACTTAAAATACAATAGAAAATAACCAAGAAAGATTGGAGAGAAGATTGTTTCAGTCTTACAGGAGAGTGTCTGGGAAAGCTCTAAAACCATAGCAAGCATGGTAAAGTAAAGAAGGTGAAAGAGGTGAAAGGAGTTCCCTGAGACTGGGGTGGTGTAGGATATCAGTCAGGGTGTTGGGAAAAATTGTAGAAAGATGCAAACCTTTTTGGAAGGCCGGGAGGTTTTACAAAATCTTCGGAAAAGGATTTGGCTGAAGGCAGCCAGATTCTATTATCAGGTGCCTGCAAACTTAGGTCAGATGGCAAGGAGATGTAAAGAAACTCATCTAGGTAATTTAGTTTACTCAGGCCTTGGAACCTGGCCTTTAATCGTCCTTGTGCAGGACTGCTCTTTTGGGAGGGTGGGGGGTGACCATGTTAATTACCTGCAAGTGTGTTGACTCAAGGCCTTTGTCATCAAATCTGTACTGAATAAATGAGAGCGTGGCCGACCTGGCAGGATGGAGAAGGCAGTGGCTAGAAACAGGGTTAGGGAAGAAATCTGGAACTAAGTCATTCTATGTGTAATGGAAAGCTGTTTATGGTTTTAAGTGTGGAAGTGATATGCTCTGGTTTAACTTTGAGTAGATAATTCTGGCTGCTGAAGAAAAAGTGGATTGGAGGTGAGGATACATGGGAGTGAATAGCTGAGCTATTGCATCAATAGTGCAAGGAACAGTTGTGGGGGTGGTGATCTGGACAGGGACAATGGCAGCAGTGACAGTAGACTTCTCCATTATATCTTATTACCTTGAAACAGTTCTTCATGGCCTTTGCGGTAGTTTGTATTTTCCACAGATGGCTGCACCCACATGTCCCATGCTTCAGAGTCTTTCCAACGTGGCCTCATCCCTCCCTCATTAAGAGGTAGAGCCTACTTGTCCTTTCGTTAAATCTGGTTGGCCTTAGAGATGTGCTTGACAAACAGGTAACAGAAGCGATTTCTTGGACTTCCAAAGTTAGGTGATAAGAAGACTCCAGCTTGAGTCTCTTGGAATGCTTGCTTTTTGTGACACTCCCCCTCAGAACCCATGCCATGCTGTAAGAACCCCAAGACAGGTGGAGGGTTTGCACTGGCACTGCTAGCGATAGTCCCAGCTGAAATCCTGACAGTCAGCAACAACTACCAGCCATGTGAGCTAGCCATCTTGAATGTTTAGTCCATATGTGTCTCTGTTGTCATGTGACTATACTGCATGAGAGACCCAGCAAAATACCTGTCCCACAGAACCCAGTTAACTCCCAGAACATGGAATGACAATAATCAATTATTATTTTAAGCCACGAAGACTTGGCATGCTTTGTTCCATGGCAACGAATAATCAAAAATGCCTTTAACACTTGCCATGATCACATCTTACCCTTTCTATCCAAATGTACTCCTCACATTTCCTTGCTTCTTAATCTGTGGCAAATCAACCATAATTTGGCTTATTTTACCAAGTAATTCTTCTTATTGAAGTTTTAGTAGCAAAACACCAAAGGCTGTAGATTCCCCAAGGAAGCTCTTTTTTTGCCAATCACTAGATAGAGAAACAAAACCTTCACTTCTGAAAACAACAATACTGAAAGAATTATATTTATTAATTATGTGTTTCTGGTGTACATCTTAATTCTCAGAATAAGGTATTTGATTGCTTTATCTTGATTTACTTATACTTCTCATTATGAGGCAAGAGTCAGCTAAATTAAAAACACAAAAGTAAGTACAGGAAACCTCACTAGGAATGAACTAAATTACGAAAATACTCCAAATATTTGAAGCTTAATATCCACAAGTTAGGCCAGTTTCTTTACTTACTTGATATTCCATCTAATACCATCAAATTCCTCTCCAATTTGAGAGAAATGTTGACCTATATCTAATGCAATTATATACTCTTCATCTAGTTATATTCATCTAATTATATGATACCTAACATTATTGTCCAAATTCAATCCTCTTGTTGTTTTGTTGTTTTGTTAAATTGAAAACACATAAATTGTTCTGGAAAAGAGAGGTGTTTTAAAAATGTAAGCCCAAATTTGCATAACCAATTGAGGATTGAAGGAAACTCCGTAATCCGAGTAAGACATGCACACCCTACTTTATTAAGTTTCCAATCCCCACTTGCTGACCCTTCTTAATTCCTTTTCCTGCTTTAATTATGTTAATAACTCTTACCACTACCAAATATTTTATGTGTGTTATTTATTTTATATCAATTATTGTTTGTCTACCCAGCCTCCCTGTAACTGCAATGTAAACTCCATAAAGGCAGTATTTTGTCTGTTGCTATTATTGCTTTGTTCCTACTTCTTGAATGGTTTTAGACATATAGTGGGAATCTAATAAATGACTGCTAAATAAATGAATAAAAAAGCTATTGCAAAAGAATGTAAGCAAACGCAGATGACAGCCTGGGAAACATATAGTATTATGTTGTGGAGAAGAGATTAATCTCACTAATATGAAAAGGGTCTTACAAATAACTAAAGTCAATATATAAATGGAAAAATAGGTACATGTAGCCTGAAAATAGAAAAGAAGTCAAATGACCAGTAATCAAAACATACAAAGTAAAACAACAATTACACACAATATTTACATAGGTAATGATTTAAAAGAAATGCATACCTAAAGTACATGAAACTAAAAATGAAAAATCTGTTTGATTGCAAGGAGAAAACATAAATTATTTGAATTTAGGAAACATTGGAAATATGGATAACAAGTATTAAGAATAGGTGTACACTTCGATGTACAAAAACACTTCTTGAAATTTATCACTGATATGCAAAATATGTAGGCAGAATGGAGACATAAACAGGAAGTCGGTCCCCTTTCCCTCTGAAACTCAGGGTCAGGCAATGTTAATGAACTGTTAGAAAACTAATGAGGGTTTATATCTGGAAAATAATGAGAAAAGAGAGATGCATTGATACAGGGTGTTATAAGAGCCTGAAATTGGGATTTGATTCACTTTGGATGAAAGACAATGCTTTCAAGAAGAAATTATTTTAAGCCTGAAATATTAATACAAACATCTTTAGAAGTTAAGGCAAAAGACTATGGTGATTAAATCTACATTTGTGAACATCTATTAAGTGTCAGGCACTGTGCCAAGAACTGGGCCTAAAATGATGAATGAGGCCGTCATGGAGTTGACCATGATCATTTCCGCATCTAGTGGGGGATTATTTTGGCTTGGGGGGCAGGTGGCTGTTGAGATAAATTTAGACATGTTTTGGAGCATTATACAATGGCCTTGTCAATTAATTTGACTGGCTGAAACAATAAAAGACAGGAATCCTAGATAACTTTTATAATTTCAGCTCGCCACTAGGTGAATGTGTACCATTTACTGGGATGTGAAGACAGGCTTTATTGGGGAAAAGAAATATGAAAGGTTCTATTTTAGACATGTCAATTTTGTACTGTCTCTGATAAATGTAATAGAAGTTAACAAATAGTCATTTGTCTAAGAGTAAAAAGAGGTTAAAAAAAGATAAGCAAAGAACACCAGATTGTCTGTATAAATCTAGAAGATGCAAGCATAGTGTTTTATACCATAACACTGACTAATTAAAGCTAAAGACAACATAAAAATAGGAAAGCGAAGGAAAAATTAAAATGAAGAGAACATGAGAAACAGTGAGTGGAAGAAAAGAGAGAAGTAGAAAAGGGAAATAGGAGAAAATTAAAAGGAAAGAGAATTAACAAAGTCAGGAGTAATTAATATACTTGGAGTTTAGCTGCCAGCAGAAACGAAGTCAGTAAAGGAGCAAGGGAAAATGAGTCAAATGAGTCAGCAAAAAGAGAGAGGGCAACGGGCTCCAAAGACCAGTTGCCAGAACTGACCTTACATGGAGAAGTAGAAGAAGGTGAGGCATCAGCTTCTCTGCTTTCATAGAAGTAAAGAAGATAGGCCAGGTGTGCGTGTGTGTGTGTGTGTGTGCGCGCGTATGTAAGTTTCTGCCTGGCAGAGACTTGCAAATCTCTTTGGGTGCATTGTCTTCTGATGGCTCCTATATTCTCTATGAAATGTGAGGATCAGTCATCTGCTGAGAGCATAGAAAAAGGTAGGGGGAGATTTAGAAGTCTAAGGAGGTTAAAGATTTTAAATAATCAATGAGTAGAATGGGGAAATATGGCCAAACAGAAAAATTTGAGAGTCTATGTGAGATAATTAATCACAAATATTTAGTGAATCTAATTTTCTCTGTCATGTGCTATTTTACTAACAGACGCTATTTACAACTAAGAAGGGGTAGAAGTAAGATAAAAATTAAATAATGTTGGATTTGTGTCATTTTAGTGCGATGAATAATATGTAGGAAAAATACAGTGATTTAATTTACTGACAAGAGTTATATTGATTTGTAAACTATATGCATAGAGAATTATATAATCCATTTTTTTATAAAATGAAACTTTAAAATCTGTAGAAATATTCATCAACAAAAGAATTACATATACTTAAATACACAATACAAACGATTATTACACAGTGACTTAAAATGCTGATCTTTTTATTTATTGACATGGAAAGATGCCCAGGATGTATGGTTATGTATGAAGCGCAGGCTTCCAAAGTGCATGTGGAGTATTATTTACTTTACTTTGATTTAAAAACAATTATTTTGTATCAAGTGTTGGAAGTATGTAGAGCATCTGCAAGTCTCATACATTGCCAGTGAAAGTGTGAATTATTACAGTTATTTTGGAAAACTCTTTGACAGTGTGTATTAAAAACTCACCACATGCATACCCCTAGAAACCACCAATTGTACTCCTAAGTATATGCCAAACAGAAACATGTCCGTAAGTTCCACCATAAGGCATGCACTAGAATTTCATAGCAACAATATATCTAATAGCCCCAAACTTGAAGCAACCAAATAAAAAAATGATTAAATGAAGTCTGGTACTTTTTTTTTTTTTTTTTTTCCGAGACGGAATCTCACTCTGTCACCCAGGCTGGAGCGCAGTGGCAGGATCTCGGCTCACTGCAAGCTCCGCCCCCTGGGTTCACGCCATTCTCCTGCCTCAGCCTCCCGAGTAGCTGGGACTACAGGCGCCCGCCACCACGCCCGGCTAATTTTTTTGTATTTTTAATAGAGACGGGGTTTCACTATGTTAGCCAGGATGGTCTCGATCTCCTGACCTCGTGATCCGCCCGCCTTGGCCTCCCAAAGTGCAGGGATTACAGGCGTGAGCCACCGTGCCCGGCCCCGAAATCTGGTACATTTATACAATGTAAGTATATACATCAACAAGTATAAGCAAATTACATGGCACATAACAATATTAATATATCTTACAGTCCTAATGTTATGCAAAATAAGCCAACATAAAAGAATATACAATGTGTGATTCCTTTTATATCACATTCAGAATAGCTTGGGTGATGGATGCACTAAATCTCAGAAATCACCAGTAAAGAACTTATCCATGTAACCCAAGACCACCTGTACCCCCCAAACTACTGAAACTTTTAAAGTCAAGGAAATATACTACTTGTGCACAGGGGTGGTGATGGGAGGGCTTCTGAAGATGTTCTGCCTCTAGAATATTTGGTCACTTTCTACATGTATGCTGTGCTTTAATTGTAATTACATAAAAATCCTTCTCATTCATAGAAAAAGTACTGAAGAGAAATATATCAATATGTTAATAATTATGTTATCTGTGTTATAAGTTTATTGGTGATTTATATTTTCTACATTTTGTTTCATGTAAATTTTTAAATTGAAAATACATTAATTTTTTAATGCAGAAAAACAATGAAGCTCTTTGCTTTTCCAACAAGTGTGAACTCTGGTTTCCGGAATAACTACACTAAAATTATGAGGTTCATATTTCATCTTCAGATAAAAAGACACTACATCTTCAAAAACTTGTGAAAAACTGAAAATGAAAATTAATATCTATTCTTATTTTAGTGAGTTATCAGCCTTTGACCTTAAAATTTTAATTTTTTTACATATTTAAAAATTTCGCCTAATACTAAAACAAACTGTTCTACTGTTTCTGGCATTAACTCTTAAGTAGGGCAGGGAACATCTATTAAAACTGGTAATCTCCTGAAATTCTTCACTGTGAACTCATTTTCTTAAACACCTACTTATATTTCACCACTAATGGAATTGGAGAGGATACTCCAAAAAATGCCCAATTATTGTTAATCCCCTCCTTTCCCATGCAAGTCATATCAATCTCGTTGAGTGTTTTTGTTCCCTTCACAGTGCAATGGTTTATTTAACAAAATGCATATGGATAAGCTTTTTGCTCGAATAAAGCTCAAGAGGATGGAATTAAATTAGTTTGGGGTAATTATTTATAATTAGATATTCGTAATGGAAACTGAATAAATCCTAAGTTATTCTAACAGCTTGCTTAAATGTGCTGCCTCCGTTGACCACTCCCCACTTCTCTTCCCCATATGGAAACAAGAAAATTGCTTTCTAGCTTTCAAGGCAGTATTCCATCTGCTCAGGAAAAAAACCCAAGGCACATTCAAAAAAACTTTGTAAAGTAAACATTATTTGCCACTCAACTAAAGAACAGCTAAGTAAAAGCTGAAAATTAAGATTATGCAAATATGACTGTCCCTTAAACTTCCCTGAGAAGGGTGAAAAATAAGACTCAATGCTACAGTAAATGTGATGATCTGTAAGTGAGATTATCTGTTATCTATTTAGTTAGACACCTGGGTGTGAGTCTCTTGAAAACCCATCAGGTGTCAGTCCACAGTGCTGGGCAGAAAATCTAGCCATAGGTACTGGCCCAGTTCCATGAGGGTACCTTGTGAACCACAGAGCTCTGTGAGCAATGTGGTGTCTAGTAGGCCGTGCCAAGTGGACCACATCTGTTTTGAATCAAGGATGTCTTCACACCAAGGGGGTTGAAGAGATAGCCAAAGACATAAGCAGCCAGCACCCCTATAAAATCACCAAGACTTCGATTTTTATCTTTTTCTCATCAAAACAGCAGAGAGGTTAACTTCTCCAATTGACAGATGTGTAAAAGGCTGGTGCAAGAAAATGCCTGACGTGCTTTATGAAGCTCCATAGCAGAAGAATGTTTTCATCCCTACCATGTGAAAAATTGAAGCTTAAATGACTTCCATATGGGGAATTTTGTGTTACTCCATGCGAGTCCCTGGCTTTTGTCTTCTACATGCCATTGCTCCTTAAATTCGATTTATTCATTTGGTTAAACTCTTTTTGTGAATTCCAGGTAATAGATTCCTCTGGATTCCAATACAATGAAACTTTTTATCAAATAGCTTTAAATTAGAAAGAAAAAAATTTTTATCAGAGTAGATCAACCAGGGATTTGGATTTGATCTGAGATGTTCTGTGACTGCACTTGTTTAACTATCTTACATGAAAAAAGATATATGACGTATACACCATGATTTGATTCATGGTATAGCGTGGATCATGCCATGATCCATGATGTAGCAATGTGTATCTTTGGGCCACAGTTAATTTTGTTTCGGGCTTAATACATAGATTAAGTTTGTAATGCATCCACTGTCTCTAAAGGAAAAATCAAATTGTAAATCATATCCTGATATGTCTCTAAATTATACCTAAAAATAATAGGAATTGGTGAGTTAAGTGAAGGAGGTATAAAACCATCATTCAAATATTAATTGAGTACTAATTAGTATAAGAAACTTGCACATATACTTTCTTCAGCTGCAAAGTAGGTATCAACACCCTCTTTTTTCAGAGAAGGTCGCTAACCAATATACTTAAATTAATTTGTCCACAGCTATAGAGCAATAAATGACGGAAGAAGGTTAAAATCATGACCTCATTTCAAAGTCCATTTTCTGGTCTTATGCCATATCTAGAGATACCTAGATCCTAAAATAATAATGCATGGCACTTTCTAAACATGCCCACAAAATCTTTGATACCCCTTCTGTTAAGAGGCGGGATCTCTGTTTCCTTCCCTTGAATCTGGTCGTAACTCAGTGATGCATTTACAATCAATAAACCACAGTTGACATAGTATTATATGGCTTCTGTGACTAGGCCAAAAACACCCTGTGGCTTCCACCAGATTAAACAGTCTGCTCCCTCTGAAAGAGGTCAGCCACCATGAAGAAAGTCTGACTGCTCTGAGATTACTGTGATGGAAAGTCTCTGGTACTCTGGCTGACAGTCTGGCCAAGCCCCGAAGCCAATACCAAGAATCAACTATCAGTCAAGTTACTGAGCCATCTTGGAGGTTCAATTCAGTTGAGCTTCAGGCAACTGATACCCTAGGGGACAGCTCACTGCAACCACATGAGAGACCCCATGAAAGAGTAACCTAGCCAAGCCTTTCCTGAATTTCTTAACCGTAAATGAGTGAGCAAAATGAAATGATTGCTGTTTTATACTACTAAATTTGGGGATAATTTTCATACAGCAAATCAATCAAAATACAAGACAAGATTCACTAAGCATTTAGGCAATGAGGCATCAGCAAGAGATATGGGGGACCTCTGAGTCTCTATCCACCTTCACTATTCAATAAGCAGAACTCAACTATGGCACAGGAGATAATATGAGCACAGCCATTAAATCAGACAAACATGGATGTATCCCAACATTGACACTTACTAGCTCCAATGTGGCCTAATCAAGGTAATATCCAGGGTTCTCTATAGAAACATAATGTATATATATATAATATTTATACATATATATCTTATAAATCTCTTTATATATTTATATAATATGTATAATATCTATTTAGGTAATGTATAATATATAAATATATAAATATATTTATTATAAGGAATTGGCTCACATGATTATGGAGGCTGGGACGTATTAAGATCTTCAGTAAGCAGGCTGGAGACCTAGAAGAGCCAGTAGTGGAGTTCCAGTTCCAGCCTGAATTTGAAGGCCTGAGAATCAGGAGAGCCAATGATGTAAGTTCCAACCTGAAAGCTGACATTCTCAAGAGCCAAGAAGAGCCAATGTTTTAGTTTGAGTCTAAAGAAAGGAAGAGACCTATGTTCTAGCTCAATCACCAAGCAGAAAGAGTTCTCTCTTAAGACCAAGTCAACTTTTTGTTCTATTCAAGTTTTTGACTGATTAAATAAGAGAAACTCACATTGAGAAAGCCAATCTATATTACTCAGTCTTACAAATCAAATGTTATTCACATGCAAAAGCGTCTACATACACACGCTGAGAATAATGATTGACCAAAATTTCCACACCTGGTGGCCCAAACAGGTTGACACATAAAATTAACCATCACTAAAATATTGGCCTATAATTTTGTTTTCTTGTAATATCTTTGGTGACTTTGGTGTTGGGGTAATTAATACTGATTATAAAATTTATTGGGTAATTTCCTCCTGTTCAATTATTGTATGAGTTTGTGAATGATTGGCATTAATTTTTCCTTAGATATCTGGTAGAATATACATCCTGGGCTTTTGTTTGTGGAGAGCTTTTTGATTACTGAATCAATCTCTTTACTTATTATTGGTTTACCTATATTTTCTAATTCTTCATGATACAGTCTTGGTAGATTTTATGTTTACAAGTCAATATTCCTTATGAACTTAAATGGAAAAATCCTCAACAAAATATTAGCAAAGCAAATTCACCGGCACATTAAAAAAAGATTATACATCATGATTAAGTGGGTTTTATCTCTAAAATGCAAGGATGTTCGAATATAAGCAAATCAACAGATGCGATACATCATATTATAAGAATGGATGATAAAAAATAAATATCAATAGATGCAGAAAAATCATTAGACAAAACTCAACATCCTTTCGTGATAAAACTCTCAACCTATTAAATACAGGAATAATGTAGTTTATCAGAATAAAGGCCATATATGACAAGCCCACTTATAACATCATAGTCAACCGTAGAAAGCTGACAACTTTTCCTCTAAAATAAGGAACAAGACAATGGTGCTTACTCACATCACTTCTACTCAACATAGTACTCAAAATCCTAGCCAGAGCAATTATTCATCAATAAAAAGAAATAAAAGGCATCCAAATCAGAGAGGAACAAATAAAACTGTCTTTGTTTACAAATGACATGATCTTACATATATAAAACCCTGACTACTCCACCGAAAAACTGTTAAAAGTAATAAACAAATTTAGTAGTGTCGCAAGTGTTGCAGGATACAAAATCAACATACAAAAATCACTAAAGTTTTATACAATAAACAAGCTATCTTAAAAAATTAAGAGAATTATTTTATTTACAATAACATTTTAAAAATACTTAGGAGTATATTTAACTAAGGAAGTGAAAGTGATTTACAATGAAAACCGTGACACTGGTGTAAGAAATTGAAAAAGACACAATTAAATAAAGAGATGTCATGTTCCTGGTTTGGAAAAATTAATATTATTAAAATGTGCATCCTACACAACACAATCTACAGATTCAGTGCAATCCCTAATGAAATTCCAAAGTGATTTTTCACATAAGTAGAAAATAATTTCTTAACATTCATATGGGACCACAAAAGACCCAGACTAGCCAAAGCAATTTTGAGAATGAAGAATAAAACTGGAGGCATCACACTACCTGATTTCAAAACACACTACAA
Source organism: Homo sapiens (assembly GCF_000001405.40). NCBI lineage: Eukaryota > Metazoa > Chordata > Mammalia > Primates > Hominidae > Homo > Homo sapiens. Next base: position 7,575,449 of record NC_000020.11, read on the forward strand.
AGCTACAGTAATCAAAACGAAATGATACTAGCATAAAAACAGACATAGGGACCAATGGAAAAGAACAGAAAGCCTGGAAGTACGTTCATGGATTATAAAGTCAAATGAATTTGGCAAAGGTAACAGATGTACACAATAGAAAAATGATAGTTTCTTCAATATACGGTGTTGGAAAAACTATATTTACATGCAGAACAATGACATTAGACCCTGTACAAAACCAACTCAAAATGAATTAAGTACGTAACCATAAGGCTTGTAACTGTAAAACTACTAGAAAAACAACAGGGAAAAAGACTTCTTGACATTCGTATAGGTAATGAGTTTTAGCTATGACCCCCAAAGCACACGCATCAAAACCAAAAATAGACAACTGGAACTACATCAATCTATAAAGATGTTGCATATCAAAAAAAAACAATAAACAGAGTCAAGAGAAAACCTATAGCATGGAAGAAAATATTAAATGGGACTGAATATACCTTTCTCAAAAGAAAACATCCAAATGGCCAAGAGGTATATGAAAAAATACTCAACAACACAAATCATCAAAAAAATGCAAAAAAAACACAATGAGAAATTATGCAGCACTATTCACAAAAGCAAAAGTGTGGACTCAACATAAGTGTCCATCAACAGATAAATTGATAAAGAAAATGTTGTATATAGATACGATGGTATGCTATTCACGTGACGAAAAAAGAATAAAACCATGTCATTTGTAGCAATGTGGATGAAACTGGAGGTCATTATATTAAGTGAAATAGGCCAGGCACAGAAAGGCAGAAGCCACATGTTCTCACTCATATGTGGTGGGAGCTAAAAAAGTTTATCTCATGGAGATAGATAATGGATTGTTAGGTACCAGAGGCTGAGAAGAGTATGTGGGTGGAGGGGAGAATGAAGAGTTGGTTAGTGGATACAAAAATACAAGTTAGAAGAAATGAGCCCCAATATTCAATACCAGAGTATGGTAACTACAGATAGCAACAGTGTATTGTGTATTTCAAAGTAGCTAGAACAGAGGACTTGAAATACCACCAACATAAAGAAATAATAAATACTCCAAGTGATGGAAAACACAAACACCCTGACTTGATCATTGCACATTATATGCATGTAACAAATATTCACATGTACTCGTTAAATATGTAAAATATTTTGTATCAATAAGAAAATAACGGCTATAGTAAAAAAAAGAAGACAAAAGATAACACGTGTTGACAAGAATGTTGAGAAAAGAAAATGCTTGTGCATTGTCAGTGGGAATTTCAATTGTTTAGCCATTATGTAAAATTGTGTGGAGGTTGCTCAAAAAATTAAAAATAGAACTACCATATGATCCAGCAATCCCACTTTTGGGTATATATCTAAAGAAAATAAAATCAGTATCTCAAAGAGATATCTGCACTTCCATGTTCATTGCAATATCACTCACAAGAGCCAAAATATAGAACCAACCTAAGTGTCCACTAACAGATAAATGGATAAAGAAAATGCAGATAAAGAAAACATTGTATACATACATATAATATGCATATAATATGTAAGTATAAAATGGAATATTATTCAACCTTTAAAAAGTAGGAAATTCTGTCATTTGTGACAACATGGATGAACCTAGAGGACATTATGTTAAGTGAAATAAGCCCATACAGAAAGACAAATACTGAATAATCTCACATATATGTGGAATCAAAAAGAGTCAAACTCATAGAAGCAGAGAGTAGATTGGTGGTTGCCAGAGGTTGGAGAATGGAAGAAATGAGGAGGTGTCTGAAAAAGTAAAAAATTTCAGTTATGCAAGATGAATAAATTCTGGAGACCTAATGTATGGCATCGTGACTATGATTTTTAGTACAGTAGGTGTTAAATGTTCTTACCACAAAAAAAAAAACATGTGATATACTTTGCATATTTGTTCCCTCCAAATCTCATGTTGAAATTTGATCTGCAAGGTCAGAGATGGGGCTTGGTGGGTGGGATTGTTTGGGTTATGGAGGTGGATCCAACATGCATGGCTTTGTGCCATCCTGAAGGTAACCTGCAGATCTAATTATTGAAAAGAGCCTGGCACCTCCCTCCTCTCCCTATTGCTAATCTCTCTTGCCATGTGACATGCTGACTCCCTTTACCTTCTGCCATGAGTAAAAGCTTCCTGAGGCCCTCACCACAAGCCAAGCAGATGCCTATTCCACACTTTTTATACAGCCTGCAAAACTATGAGCCAAATAAACTTATTTTCTTTATAAATTACCCAGTCTCAGGTATTCCTGTATAGCAGAGCAAGAGGAACTAATATACTATATGAGGTGATAAATATGTTAATTAGATTAGTTGTGGTAATCATTTTACAATGCATACAAATATCAAAATGTCACATTGTACACCTTTAATATAGACAGTTTCTATTTGTTGATTATACCTCAATAAAGCTGGAAAAAACATAAGTCCATTCCTTCTCAAATGGGTACCTATATTCATCTCCTTAAACCTACCTAATATCCAAATAAAGACAATAACAAGGTTATAATTCCACCTGATACAATTCTCCATACAACTAAAAACACACCAGCCTCTTTTTCAGAAGAGGAGATAAAGTGCTTGAGTATTTACTTTTCTCTTCGATATCCCATAACTTATATTTGCATTACGATAATGCAAAATATTTTTTAAATACTATGTATTTAATATTCAAATGCTATTTAAATACTATGATATAAAAGTGAATACATCTTACGTTACATGGTAAGAGAATAAGAGAGAAAAGATATATATATATTTATAGACATACATGCATATAAATACATGCAACATATTGACAACAAGGTAAGAGGGATATGTTCAACAACTACAGCCCTCCTTTCTGTAACTGGTCACACAGTCACAGCTGTTATTTATAACAGCCTTCCTCTACTAGCCACTCTGTATTTCCTTTGCCTTCAGAAAATCCTTTATCTAGTTCTTTATCTGGTGGAGTTACCCAAACTCCAGATGAAGGGTGTCCTCAAGGGCCTGAGACATTAATAATCCTGCCTTGATTTCAATGCTATAGTTTCCCATTGACCTTAATCATAGGGCATGGTAATACTAAGAGGCATCCAGAAGAATCTACTGTATTCCAGAAATATTCTTCCATGCCTCCATTGTGTAGTCAGTTTCTCCTTGGTAGTCAGGATCAATCGTCTCAGCCAGCAGAGTAACTCCCTTCTTTGCCTGTTGATTTAGAGGCAGCAGGAAACCAAAGTCCCTGGACAGGAGTCTTAACTTCCACTTCAATAGAGTCACTGTTTTGTCTCCTGGTGGAAATGTCTCCTCCCTTTGGAACTAAAATATTTAGGCTAGCAGATCATAAAGTCATGAAAACAGAAAGCAAAAATTTTGCAAGTGGGTCATTAAGGGTCATAGTGAGTGATGCCATTCCCACTTGCAACCCTGGACTCATGAACACTGGCTATGGGAGAAACCACACCATATATTGGATGCTGATTGAGACCAGATATATAGCCTTCTGGAGAACTTGCCCCAGCCCAGCAAGGCATTGTCATGTACCTAGTACTGTAACTGAGTCTTCAAAAGATCATTCTACAGATTTACCAATCCAGCTGCTTCATGATGGTGGGGAACATGGTAAAACCAGTGAATTCCATGAGTATGGGCCCATTGCCACACTTCATTTGCAGTGAAGTGGGTGTATTGATTAGAAGCAATGCTGTGTGGAATAAGACAATGTATCAGTGAAAAAGACAGTCTGAAAATTCATAGACGGTAGTTTTGGCAGAAGTATTGCATGTAGGGAAGAGAAATTTGTATCCAGAGTAAATGTCTATCCAAATAAACGCAAAACACTGCCCCTTCCATGATGGGAGCATTCTAATGTAATCAACTTGCCACCAGGTAGCAGGCTAATTCCCTGGGGAATAGTGCCATATTGAAGACTCAATGTTGTTCTTTGCTACTGGCAAATTGAATACCCAGTGGTGGCTGTAGCCAGGTCAGCCTTGGTAAGTGGAAGTTGATTTTGCTGACCTCATGCATCACCTCCATTTCTCACACCATAACCACATTTTTATGAGCTCACTGGGTCATGAAAGGGTCTGGAGAAAGAAATTGTCTGGTATCCATACAATGGATCATTCTGTCAATTAAATTATTAAAATCATCATCTGATGATGTCTTCTTTTGAAGCATTCATATGGGGTACAAATGCCTCCATGATTTTTCCCATTTAGATGTGTTTATACAGAAAGTTCTTCCCCCAATTTTTTGTTATTAATTTATCAATCATGTTTTTTTCAATTTCCTGATCATCCAGCCAACCATAGGTCACAGACCATGACTCGGTATGTAATCTCATATCAGACCATTTCTCCTTCCAGAAAAGTGAACAATCAGATGCAATTCTGTGGTTCTAACCCCTTGGAGAAGTTCTCTTCACCTGTGTCATTCAGGAATGTCCTAGAAAGTGGCTGTAGTGCTGCAACTGTCTACTTTCAGGTGTTTTCTGCATACAGTGAAGAAGCATATATAAACCAGACCTGAGTTTTCTCCTCCTCTGTCGATTGATTGTAGGAAATTCCCATGAGGCAATAGACACAGACTAAGCACCTGAGCTGTGACTCACCTATCAGGTCCTGCCAAAGCTCCAAATAGCATTCCTATCTGCCAGCGACATTTCAAGAACAATTGGATCTGCTGAATAATATGGCCCAAGAGGCAGAGCAGTTTGCAAAGCAGCTGGGACCTATAACAGTTTGCATAACAGTTGGGCCCCACAAAAGAAACTAGCAATATCTCGGGCCATTCAGTAAATGTACCAGAATAAAACACCCAAATAAGGAATGTGTTGCTCCCACAATCCAAAGAAGCTCACTAGGCGTTATGCCTTTTTCTTTTTTTTTGTAATACGATCCTGATGCAACAATGTATCCTTCACCTTAAAAGGGATATCTTGAGATTCCACATATCACTGGACCCTTAGAAATTTCATTATGTTCAATCCTGAACTTCTGTGGGATTTATTTCCCACCCTCTGACATGCAAATATCTTACCAGTAAGCCTAGAATAGTTGCTACTTTTTGCTCACTAGGTCCAATCAGCATAATGTCATCAGTGTAATGGACCAGTGTGGTATCTTTTGGAAGGAGAAGGTGATCAAGATCCTTGCAAACTAAATTATAACCTAGGGCTAGAGAGTTAATATACACCTGAGATAGGACAGTGAAGGTGTATTTCTAGCCTTGACAGCTGACAGTAAACTGCCTCTGATAGTCCTTGTTGACAGAAATGGAGAAAAAGGAACTTGTAAGATCAATAGCTACATGTCAGGTACCAGGGGATGTATTATTTTATTCAAGTAATGAAACTACATTTGGTACAGCAGCTTCAATTGTAGTCATCATCTGGTCAAACATGAGAATGATAATTCATTATCATTCTCCCAGATCCATCTGTCTTCTGCACAGACAAGTCGAATGGAAAGGTGGTGGGAATAAACACCCCTGCATCTTTCTGATCTTGATGGTGGCACTAATCTCTACCATTCTTCCAGGCATGCAGTATTGCTATTGGTTTACTATTTTCCTAAGTAGAGGCCATCCTACTGCATTCCAATCAGACTTTCTCATCCTAATGGCCCTCATTCCATAGGTAATGGAACCAAAGTGGGGGTTAAGACAACTACTGAGTAGATCAACTGCAATAATGCATTCCATAACTGAGGAAATAATCACAGAATAGGTTCAGAGATGCACTGAGCTCACTGTGAAATAGATTTAAGCTAAAACTCCACTGATCATCTGATCCTCATAAGTCTGTACCTTGACTGATGAACCATAGTTAATTTTGAGATCTCTTGGGATTAGTGTTAGTTCAACCAGTATCTTGTAGTCATTGAAAGATCTGGTTATTTCCTTTTTCCCAGTATATAATTACTCTATTAAAGACCATAGGTTACTTTGAGGAGGGCTGGGAGAAAGAATAACAGTATAAATTTTGGCAGTGTACAGAGATCTTTCCATAAGTGGACCTAGATTCCTCTTTATTCAAAAGATTCTGGGTCTTTAAACTGGCTCAAGTCTGGAAATCGATCGAGGCGGGGGGCCATGTCTTTCTGTTTTCGTGATTCAGGTTAGACTTTTGGTAACTTAACCTAGAAATTTTCTGCTTATACAGATCAAATAAGAATTTAGTATGCTTTCTACTTATTTCACTTCAAGGACCATCCATGGTAAATTAGCCAACACCAGAGGTCTGCGCAAGTCAGACTATTCTGATTGCTGCTTCATCTCTGCTGTCCTTCACAGTAACTACTTCTACCTTGACTTGGGCCGCTGAGTGCCACCACTTGACCCCTGGCACCCCAGGATCCAATTACTCACATTGTATTTAGGTTTTCCAATTTACTGACAGCAGTTCCCATTGCAGAGTCTGGCCTATAGAGAAGAACAGTCACAGAGCACTTAAATCATGTTAGGTTTTCCATTACAAATTTATTTCTCACAGTATTGGTGAAAGGTATGTCTTCTGTATCCTCCCAGTGTGAGCGAGTTGGTTTTAAATGACAAACTCACTGCGACATTCTAATCTCCCTAGGCCTTTGAATCCCCTCCTCCACAGTAAACCCAGGCAGGTCTGACATTACTGTCAGCCGCCTGTTGTAGACCCACATCCATAAATTTTGTCTGATGCAACTTTGTTTCTTCTACTATTATCCCATACCTTTAGTATCTATTCCTACCCATGTTCCCCAGATTTCTTTCTACATATTTAGAAAACCAAGTGGATATTTTGAGTGTAGTATACCTCTTTGTGTGTAACACATTGTACCTGCCTTTAGAGACCTACCAGACCTTAAGTCTGGTATAGATACAGAAACAAAGACAGTGGGTTCTTTACCTTTTCTTTTTATATTAATTATTGTATTTTTTTTCCAAAATGCATTCTTAGGCTAAAAGTGTGGGTTCTTAGCAGGACAGCGAGGACTTACTTTTATGGCAACTTTTTCAGGGGATGTCATTGTTGTTTTCTCAGACAATCATAGTTAATCCCCTTAGATGAGAGTGCAGAAGCCACATTCCCAATGGGGAGGAAGAGGTCTCTTCCGCTGGCAAGAAAAATTTAGGGGCTCAATGTTCCCAATTTCATGAGGATCTTCCCACATAGCCCCATTTCAACTTTCCTTCCCTATCCATGTCATTCTTTCCCAATCAGTGCCCTCACTTCAACAGTGCACATCCTACAAATCTGGGTCTATTTGCACTGTAATTCAAGATGAAGGCCTGATTTTAGTTTTCAGCATCTCAACCCTACAGCTGTAGGAGACCAAGGTCTCCATTGGGGCAGATATAAAAGCTGTCAGATCATTTATGTAGCATTTAAGCTGGAAACTCAAATTCCTAAGCTAATTCTTTATTTTTCCCACTTTTTCCAGCAACATTATTAGGAGAATCATGTCAACCTACTATTCATTAGTTTGCCAAGAACGTTCAAAAGCATCATAGACACAATTCCCCAAGTCCTTGATCCTTATAAATGGTTGGTAAGGAGTAACCAATGGTGATATTTTGTTTATCCCTTTTGCCATTTCAGGGCCATGGACTATCTGTGTTCTCTTAACTCCTAGAAATAGTGTTATTAGTGCCTTTAAACCTAATCAGATAAGAGAGCCATTTCCAGGAATTCCAGAACCAATTCATAAAACTCATGCCTAAAATTCTGTTCCTGTAAAACCATTCTAGGTACCAAAATCTGGATGAGGCTTTTCCAGGGAAATAAAATAATAGGCAATTATGTACACACACAAACTCACACATACACATACATTAGATTTATATATATATATATATATATATCTTCATATATATATATTCCTAAATATATATATACATACATATTTAGGAATTGGCTCACATGATTGTGAAGCCTGAGAAGTCTCAAGAACTGCAGTCAGCAAGCTGTTGACCTGGGAAAGCCAATAGTATCATTTCAGCCCACATCCACAGACCTGAGAACCAGGAGAACCAATGGTGTCAGTTTCAGTCTCAATCTACAGGCTTCAAACCCAGGAGATCTGATGGTATAAGTTCCAGCTCAAAAGCCTGCAGGCTTGAAACCCAGGAGTAGTTGATGTTACAATTTGAGTCAGAAGACAGGAAAACAAACAAACAAACAACAACAACAAAACTATTGTCCCAGCTCAATCAGTCAGGCAAGAGGAATGCCTACTTATTTATGATCAGGTCAGATTTTTGCTCTATTCCAGCCTTCAGCTGTGTGGATACAGGCCATTTACATTAGGAGGCCAATCACATTACTCAGTCTACTGATTAAAATGTTAGTCTTATCCAAAAACACCTACAGAGACACACTGAGAAAAATGTTTGACCAAATATCTGGGCACACAATGGCCCAGTCAAGTTGACACACAAAATTAATTATCATGAATACTCACCTCAAGAGTTTACACAAATATTAAATGAGATAATAGATATAAGTACCTAGTTAAGCCCAAGTATATAGTATACTTTCAACAAATGTTGATCATTGTCAGAATTAGTTATTACTATTAAGTTCATGGTAGAAAATGTGTTAAGTATTGGTCCAAGAATAGCAAGGTTGAGAGTAGAACTGGGCCACTACTCTACCAGATTCTGGAAAACCAAGGCTAAGAATAATTTCTTTAAAGATTATGCTGATACTAGATTCTTCTTGGGAGTAAAAGGCTTACACTTATCATTGATCCCTGTGGAAATTTTACCTCCTAGTTTTGTGGGTTAAAGCCAAATCTTAAGTGCCTTACTACTTCTAAGCACAGGCACTTTAAGAGCGCAAAGAAGTATTGGAGAGAGGTATAGATTTAAGTGAAAGTTCATACCAAATTTTTAAACTTGAATCATATGATTTGATTTAGTCTCTTAATCTATAATAGTTAATGTAAGTTTCTTTTGCTTCTTCCTAGAAAGAATGACACTAAGGGTTTGATAGTAAAACATATATACTAATGGATAGATTTTCGAGCATGTCTGGTTTCACAGTGATAACACTGATTAGGACCATGCACACAGACATTCTTGATTACAGGTCTTACAGCCATCATGTTAAAGATTTGCCTCCAGCATTCACGCACACAGGCTGCTCTACATTGCCACAGCTTTGCATCCATGATTATTATTTTTCAATTTTAAATTATGCATTGAAGCCATATTTACAAGTGCACATATCATAAATGTACAGATTATTAAATTGTTACAAAGTGTGTAGTCTTATAAGCAAGAGCCAGATCAATAAATACAAGATTTTAATCATTAGTTTCCTGCTGCTGTAAGAATATAGACCCTTAACCCCTAGAATGAAAGCAAACTGCCATTCTATAATTAACAAAGTAGCATCTATGGTTAGAGTCAGGGTTCAACTCTCAGCTCCACCACTGGCTAATCCCTCTCTGCCTAACTTTTCTCATTTGTAAAATAAGCATAATAATATACCTATCTCATGGGTATATTAAATGAGTTAATACATGTGAAGAGCTCAGAAATGCCTGGCTCATAAGAAGCTCTCAATAAATGTAAGCCATATTTATTGCATAGTTCATTTCCCCTCATACTACTTGTTACCAGATGGTGCCTGAAATGACATGAAGTGCTTGCTGAATGAATAGGAAGGAAAAATAAGAGTCCTTTACCTAACAGAATATAAAGTTTCAATGAAATTACACCATGCAGAGAAAGCAATTTGTCCTGTTTACATGGAAGACAAACAAGGAACTGGACTTTGGCTTTGAGCTGTGTGAATGGGAGATGGCATTGCTTCCGTGACCCACATTCACATTCAATAACAAGACCAGAGAGAAACAGCTTTTAGGAGCCCAACAGGAATAGTCACCTAAGAGTTGCTATTTGACTAAACAGCTACTCCATTCTTTTCTTCTACACAGCCGTTCCTTGCACCTTTCAACTGTGTGGCAATATGACTCTCCTGAGATTGAGAAACAGTGTGTCAGGTTCCATTCATCCTTAACATAACAGAGGAGTGGTAGCTACAGTATACCAGAAAGGGAGCTTTCATTGATCTGCAGCACTCTGTTTCCGTCACAGGGAAGAATCTTCTTGCAACCAGGGCACTAGAGAACTGAACAGCCAAGTAAAATATTGGGCAACATCGAGTCACCCGCACGCCCACATAGAGTCCCAATTTAGCAAAAGAGTAAAGTTCATGAGCAAGACCATCACTAATAATTTGCCACAAAGAGTACCAATTTTTCTGTTTTATTTGTGAAGTGTTGCAAAATGCTTGCTGCTGATCCTCCCATTGATTTAAGTACATCTGAACCATTTTTTTTCTATTTCCAACTACAGAAATCTGTAATTTATTGAGCTATTTTTAGCTACAAACTTTCCTTGTTGAAATCTCTGGAGTTAGAAATCTAACAGGCAAGAGGAATTAAACAAGGATCATGTAAATTAGGAAGTGTATGCAAAAGATTATTTGCTGATGTATTGGTATTGTGGAGGTACTATACCCAGCTAGAAGTCTTGCTGCAGTCTGTGGCTGTTATTTAAAAGTTATTCAAGAATTACTCTTTTCATATATAAATTATATGGGTGAATACTTAAGAAGTTCTGTGATTTCTTCATTTGCACGCTTCCTTAAGCTGCCAAGCTGTTTCAGAAAAAACAAGCAAACAAAACATTCAATAGCCCAGTTATTTCGCTTTTTTTTACTAAACAGGTGTTTCATTCCATGAGACAATAACACTGAAATTATGATATATATTACATCATTGTTTACCATTGAATACTGGCCAGAGGGCATTGCCGACATTCATATAGTTCTTGGTGTACATGTGATACAAATTACCCATGATGTCATTAGAGAATTGAAATGCAAAGAGAGTAAGAAAAATCTTAGAATGTAGTTGAAATACCCTTGAATTTTCACCATTGTTAGGGTTATTTTTTCTAGTATATTCATCTGAAGCTTCTCCTAAAAGCTTAGATTAGACATTGTCATATTTTGTTTACGTTTATTGAAAATCAGATCATTTGTCACATTTAGGCACTCCTCAAGCCTCTCAATGGCAAACTACCTCATTTTCTGGCAGAAGACAGAGCATGAGAATTGAAGCAATAGACTTTACATAAAGTACACTGTGTACTTCTTCCCCACGGTAAGAATAGTTTCCATCCCAGACACACTCCAAAACCTTCCATGATTTTGATGACAGTAGCAGTAAAAAATTACTTCACATTTACCAAAATGGGCAACAATAAATCTCAAGTTTCTTTTCACAGCTTTGACAATCTTAACTTACCAATTGAGAAATTTACTTAGTAAGACTATAGGGGAACTAGGAAAATACACTTGAATTAGCTTTTATTTTGCCAAACTAATCCACTGTTGCAAGTGCCATTGCATCAGGTGGGACAGTATGTGAAATAATGAGTGTTAACAATAGGACTCTCTTGAATTTTATATAGGTATATAATAAATTATATATATAAAACAAAAGATACCTATGGACACACATATGTATATATACATATATGTGCATATATATGTGTGTCTCTACATAGATGTATATGTGTGTGATATGTAAGCTTATAGGAAATGAAGTAGGTTTGGAGTTATAGGCACACTTTTTCACCCTCACTTGCATATATGACAATGTAAGTGTCTAAAAAGAAAAAAGATTAAACAATCAATTGATAATAGAGATTTTCATAATAATGGAGATCATAATATAGATGGAAAAAAAGAAGGCCAAATATGTGCCAGACTTACTCATTTATATTTCTTTTATTTGATTCTTAGAACAAACTTCAATTTAAAAGACAGGAACCAATGTTGGCATCAGTTAAGTAAATAAGGTTTATAGTCTCACTTACAATGAGTAAATGGAAATGCAAGTTTGAAATATACATTTATAGACTTTGGTTCCAGAGTCTGAACTGGGAAAAAAGTAGAAGGAGTAAGCATTGATATGAGCATGGCAGTGTGAGGTCAGGCTAACTATATCTGCAAAGAGAGGTACACTCAGAAGGACCAATAGCCGGCCTTGTTCTAGCAGTAGGAGATCTATGCTAGGATTTCAACCAGGGAGATGGTGAGTAGGAAGTGTCTTGTTAATTTCTTTTTTTCTTTTCTTTTCTTTTAATTTTTTAAAAAATTTTGATACAGGGTCTCACTATGATGCCCAGGCTGGAGTGCAATGGCATGATCATAGGTCACTGCAGCCTTGACTTCCCCAGGCTCAGATGATCCTCCCACCTCAGCCTCCCGAGTAGCTGGGACTACAGGTGCATGTTACCATGCCCAGCTAATTTTTTATTGCATTTTTTGTAGAGACCAGGTTTTGCTATGTTGCCCAGACAGCTTTCCAACTCCTGGGCTCAAGCAATCCATCCACCTCAGCCTCCCAAAGTGTTGGGATTACAGGCGTGAGCCACTGCTTGTTAATTTCTGTAGCTCCTATCAATAAAAAATGATTAAAATGATTCTATTACCTCCAAATTTCATGCAATTACAAATGTCATGCATTTACAAATTTCTGATTTCTCCCTAAGCTTACATTACCTTCATTACCTTACATTCCTTTACCATCATCCATACCAGTCGGAATGAAAAACCAGGGCCAATCTCAGGGTTCTCTATATTAGTAATCTCTCTTGGTTTGAAGTGAAGGCTAGATTGAAGTGGTCATGGGTCCCATACCTCAGAGAACTTAACATGGTGAGCTTAAGAATAGGTGAGGGGAAAGAGCTCTCCTTTCCAGTCCATCATCTGGAAAAGCTTGAGAACCACTACCTCAGGTAAAGCTTCAACTATAAAGCAGAGCAGCCACACGGTGACATATTTCCCCTTGATGCTCTTTTCAGAATTCTTTTGTTTTGTTTAACACAAAAGCCCTTTGTAATTGAAGTTAATGTTTTATGGCCTCATTTCGACCACTATGTTGTCAGTAATTATTAATAGTAATCTATTTTGTGTTCAAATACATGGAAAGGAAAAATGAATCTTCCAGCTACACCCCGGGATATCACATTGGTTACATCTTAGAAGACAGACTTTTGTAAAAGTGTCCCTTGAGACCTCTGCCCCATCTCAACCAACTTCATTCACATGAAATAATCTGTTAATTGCAATATAACAATTTTTAAAAAAAGAAACATTGAATTTTTCAGTAAGGATGTATTCTATAATTTTATATGCCAAGCACTATTCTAGATTTTGATAGTGTTAATGGAATCTAAAATTCTTCAGAAGAAATGAGATATAGGGACAGAAAAATTTTAAAATAAAGTGCTAAAGAAAAGATTTTTTTATTATTAATATGTATTGAGCTCCTACTATGTTCTAGGCACACAGCAATAAGCAACAACAAAGTTTCCCCTCTTCTTGGAGTTTATATTATAATGGGAGTGGGAGAAAAGACTGTAAATAAATGGATAAAATACAAATATAATGTCACATAGTGCTCTCAGCTTTTATGACATATAAATCAAGGCAAGTGGATAAAGAAAGACAGGAGGGCTCAGTTAGAGTATACATGGAAGTCCTCACCACTGGAGTGAAAGCTGAATAGAGTTTTAAATAAATTATTATAGGCAAACAAATAAAGAAGTTTTAAACTTGTCCTGGGAGGCATATAGTAGGTTTCATTGAGAGGAGACATTTAATCACACTATCAAGCAAAAGGTAGAAGTTGAACCAATAGAAAATGAATAGGCCAAAATTTTATAAGGGTAAAAAGACCTACTTTCCTTAAATCCAAAGATGCATCAAATATAGTTTTACAAAAAAGCTTTAGGGAATCACAACTTAGTTTTGGTAGGAAGAGATGAGAGTTTGGTCAACACAAAATGTCAGGCATTTTTCATCGAAGAAGCTGCTGTCACAAAATTTAAAATGCTGACTAGGTGGAATTTTGCTGTGGGTTTGCTACTTCTTTCTAGCTACAGCTAAGACCTCAGGACAATGTCTTCTCCAGAACTCATTTCTATGGAAGTGGGGAAGTCTCAACTGCTTATAAGAACTGCAACTGCACTATTTAAGAATTTGAAATTAGGACTCTTCAATGTGTAGAGTGCACTGTCCACCTCAACATTGCCACAGGTTCTTATTAAAATGCAATTTTGGGGGCCTTACCTCAGACCAATTAATCAGAATTTATCAGGGGGATCCTGGAAATTTTAATTTTCAGCAGACTTGAGTATTAGGGGGAACTAACTTTGAAAAGAAGAAAAGATATCTTTCCAGGCAGAAGGAAGAGCAGAAACAGAGGTAATAAGGTTGTTAGATCTTGAGGAACAGAAAGATCTGTTTAGCCAAAATATAGTTCTCAAAAGACAGAGTGATGGAAAATAAGGTCAAGATATAAGTAGTCCAAACCAAGTAGTGTCTTCTAGCTCATGGCATGGAAACCCTTCCCCAACTTGAAGGGTTAGTGGGGAGTCATTGGCAGATATTAAATATATGATGATCATATTAAAAAATAAAAATGCCAGTGGAGTCTGCAAAGGGGAAGGTTTTAAAAAGCTACCAAAGAAATTTTACATCTTCATCAACTCTTTTTTAGTTCTTGTGTTTTTGGAGGATAAAGGTAAACATTGCATTCAGGGCCTTATTTTGACTGAAACAAACAAGTTTATTTTTAATGACATCTCTTTATTATTGTATACGTTACTGAAAAGATAGAAAACTGCAGCTAGAAAGATAAAATATCTTGGGCCCTATTACTAGTATTAGTTGATCTTGTATCAAGATCTCCCTAGAGTACATGCAATTTGATGTGCCACAGCTGTGGCTTAATGCATGTGAAGGTATGCGGGCTCTGAAAGAGGCCTCAGTACACCTTGTAAAATAAGAAAGAGGTAATGTCCTAAGCAGGTCTTTATTTTGTATGACATCTGATCCTACTTCTCAACTTTATCATTAAATTTTCCAGGATATTATCTAAATAAATAATTTTATATAAGAAATGCACAGAATAATTTCATAGAGGATATCACTGCTTGCTTTGTACACTCTTACTGCAGAATAGGTTGAATTCTCAGCAGGAACAAAAATAGCTTCACAATGGAAGTAGTTGGAAAGGGTCTAGCATAGGATTCAGAGAATGGAATCTTTTTTACAGCTTGAAAAAAATATTGTTTCAATGTACAGATAGTGCTTGAAAAGATTGGTTTGGCTTTTCTAAATAAAATAATTGCTACACTAGTAATTCACGACAAGGGAAAATTTGTTCCTGTTTCCTCACCCCAAAGGAGTATTTATCAGTGTCTACAGACATTTTTTATTATCATAACTGAAGGGGAACTCCTAGTATTAGTGGGTGGAGGCCAATGGTATTGCTAAATCCTATGGTACGCAGGACAGTCCCTGTCCCCCATCCACATACATGACAAATCATTATCCAAATCCAAATGTCAAGAGTTCCCAGACTGAGAAACCCTAGACTAGAAATTTAGGTATGGTAGAAATGCTTACCTTATGAGTAATAAAACAGACCCTGGACTACTCATTTGTAATATTCGTGTGTTTGCTGAAAAGAGAAATGAAGGCAATGGCCACAGGAAAAGATATAGATACATCTGGTCATATAAAATTATGTCCCACTAAGTGAAGTCCTCAGAAGCTGTAGGAGTATATTAATTTACAAAACCTATTCTAGACCATTTCAATTCCTAAATAAACAGCAGGAGAGAGTAATAGACTGGGAATCAGAACTATCAACTCATCTTTCCACTCCAACCCTAGTTAACTATAATTTTTGAACAAAATACAACCTCCTTGAGTTTCTGTTTTCTCCTCTGCAGGCTAGGAAGAGAAAGATAATTGACTATAATATCTTTTCTCATCCTTATGACTCTATCATGTCGTGTTTTTCACTGTGTCAATCTAGCTAAATAAGAAACTTTATTTTCCAGAATGTTGTGGCCTAGATGGTTACAAATTGGGGTTGGCCATAAGAAAAATTTACACAGATTTGAAAGGTCTTTGTAGGACAATGGATATTCACCTTGCTAGTATGAGTCAATAGCTTCTCCAGCCCATGCTGAGTCTCTCCTATTGAGGTCTCTTGAGTTCTGAGTCAGGAACTCAACTGGGAGACAAATGGTGCCAGCTACTGCACTGACAAGGTTGAAGGCACTGGTAGACATGTGCTCCCAGTTTGTCCGTGTGGGTTCTGGTTTGTCCTATTATTTGAACAAATGTCTGCTTGGTGTCCTTATTCTCTGTCTCGAATTTGTATTCATTCTTTCCTACTTCATGCCCAGGTTTCTTTCCACTAGCCCTAACCTAGTGCAACTTTGTGCCCACCACCAAATACATAGGCAATAGCTTTTCTTAGACTTTTTTGCCAGATTCCATAATTGTGTGAGATATCATGCTTATAATAAATTGTAGGAGCTCAGTCATAGTGGTGGGAGAAGCTACCGAGATATGAGCAGGCCTTCTGAAAGTTCAGAAGGCTGTGTATAGCTTTGGGGGAGAATAAGCTGAAGGCAGCTGTTCTCGTACCCTGAGGCAGAGGGCAAGGAGTAGATACAAGGAAGCATAGTGGAATTTAGTGCAAATAAGCTTGTTTACCTATGTTAACCAGAAATTTTGACCCCAGAAAGGGAGAACAATAATGTTAATTACCCACAGATTGTGTTGGCTCCAGGCTTTCGGCATTATGTCTGTACTAAATGAAAGCAAGCAGCTCCAGCTTATTGAGGCTGCTCACTCTTCAGCAGTCCCCTAGCTGCTCTTTCACTGCATACCTGTGTCTGCATACTCCTTTCATCCATTGCTTGGCCAGGGTCTGTGGGATGGACCTGGCAATAAATCCTTTAATCTATATCACTCATAAGGGTTCTCCTTCCCTTGTTCTTCTGAGAAATACGGAATGTATCAATGCTAATGACTGAGAGGGGAATGGAGTTTAAACCCCACTGGAGATTATAAAGAAACTGAAAAATGAAAATCACAAAGTAGACATACTTTCAGCCATGCGCCGTGGCTCATGCCTGTAATCCCAGCACTTTGGGAGGCCAAGGCGGGCAGATCATGAGCTCAGGAGTTTGAGACCAACATGACCAAAATGCTGAAACCCTGTCTCTACTAAAAATACAAAAATTAATGGAGTGTGGTGGCGCATGCCTCTAATCCCAGCTAGTCAGGAGGCTGAAGCAGGAGAATTACTTGGACCTGGGATGCAGAAGTTGCAGTGAGCCAAGATCGTGCTATTGCACTCCACTCTGGGTGACAGGGTGAGACTCTCTCTCAAAAAAAAAAAAAAATAGACATACATTTAATTTCTACTTTTTAATTTCTTTCTTCACTTTGTGATTTTCGTTTTTGTTGACAGAATCTGCAGTGTTTTCCACATGTCTCTAATAACTACCTAACAATGGTAATTCATTTTTCTAAGCATAATGTAGCTATGCAGACCCTCAAGAAATGGATACTTTAGGAAAAGTGATATTACAATTTAAGAAATAAATTAAGCTAGAATACCATGCTCCAAAAAGTGTTCTGCTGATCAATAGTGTTAGCTTCGTTTTCTAAAATGCACTATCTAATAATAATTTTAGGAAGTATTTTATGCATTAGCCTATTTTGCAAATAAATTATATATTAAGAATATTTTGCAAAAAATCTTGACGCTAAGCAACTTGTTTAATTACATTTAATCCAGTATTTCCCAACTTAATTAAGCATCAGCTTTTATTCCCTCCTAGATAAATGTGTTAAAATTAAAAAAAAAAGTGTAGAAAATTCTGTACTACATAATGTAATGAAGCACTGATTTTAAACAACCTAAGTGTTTAGAGAAAAGGGATATAAATATGAGGTCCAGTAGTCTTGGAGGACATCATAAAGGAAGTATAGTTTGTATTGGAACATAGGCTAAGTATTTATATGAGCAGAAAAGAGAAGGAATAAATAGCACTTTAGAAATAATGGGTGACATAATTGAGTGGAATTTATAACATAGGGAGAAAGCCAGCTTTTGGTGAAGAACTATCTGATAGAGTCATATTTCAGATGGCTTTGAAATCTAGACTAAGATTTTTTAACTTTTATTGATAGGAGTTAGAAACACAGATTGTTGAATCATTAAGTGTTATGAAAAATATGAAATATTTTCCCCAGCATCACTTTGCTAGTAAATGGTAGAGTCAGAGTTCAAACTCAGGAGCTCTGAATCCAAAGACTGTTATTCCAGTCTCTACTATTGGATTTCCTAGCAGGTCCACTGAATAGTAAGTACATTTGGGAAAAAAATGGATTCATAAACAATCTGCGAATTTGGATAATAGGTTACCTCAGAGTGGCTTACACCTGGGGGAACATGGAAGCCTGAACATGGGTATTTTGGAAATGATGTACCAAACAAGTTACAAATCTATGTCCTGGTCATATTTGAGGGAGCCCCATGAGCTCACTGAGGTCATGAACCTGACACTGAAGCAAATCGTCCAACTGAAATCAAAAACAGAAGCTGTGGAATTAGCACCAAAAGACAGAAATGTAACCAAGCCTGGAGATTTCCTGGCAAGAGTAAAAGGTTATGGAAAACTCATCTCCTGCTTTTCTGGTCTAGTAAAACCTGACTGAATTATTACAGAAAGGTAAAAAATTAAAATAAAAGGATCCATTTGTAGGATTCCTACCAAGGGAACATTTTGAAGTTGGAACTGAAGGCAGAGATATGAGGTCCAGTTGATTTCAAAACAGTAGAAAATTATGAAACCGCTTGGACAATTAATGGCTTACCACTGTAGATCCATCTGGATCACACACTGAAGTGTGCCCCTGCTAAGTGCACAGAGATTTCTCTGGGTTTTTTGAGCATGCTTGTACATCTGCTGAAGTGATTGGAGAAAAAAACATAGACTAAGAACATCAGTTATAGTTTCAAATTTGGTTAGTTTGTAAATTCTTTACTCCTTTTTATTTATTTATTTTTTATTTTATTATTATTGTACTTTAAGTTTTAGGGTGCATGTGCACAATGTGCAGGTTTGTTACATATATATACATGTGCCATGTTGGTGTACTGCACCCATTAACTTGTCATTTAGCATTAGGTATATCTCCTAATGCTATCCCTCCCCCTCCCCCCATCCCACAACAGTCCCTGGAGTGTGATGTTCCCCTTCCTGTGTCCATGTGTTCTTGTTGTTCAATTCCCACCTATGAGTGAGAACATGCTGTGTTTGGGTTTTGTCCTCGTGATAGTTTGCTGAGAATGATGATTTCCAGTTTCATCCATGTCCCTGCAAAGGACATGAACTCATCATTTTTTATGGCTGCATAGTATTCTATGGTGTATATGTGCCACATTTTCTTAATCCAGTCTATCGTTGTTGGACATTTGGGTTGGTTCCAAGTCTTTGGTATTGTGAATAGTGCCGCAATAAACATACGTGTGCATGTGTCTTTATACCAACATGATTTATAGTTCTTTGGGTATATACCCAGTAATGGGATGGCTGGGTCAAATGGTATTTCTAGTTCTAGATCCCTGAGGAATCGCCACACTGACTTCCGCAATGGTTGAACTAGTTTACAGTCCCACCAACAGTGTAAAAATGTTCCTATTTCTCCACATCCTCTCCAGCACCTGTTGTTTCCTGACTTTTTAATGATTGCCATTCTAACTGGTGTGAGATGGTATCTCATTGTGGTTTTGATTTGCATTTCTCTGATGGCCAGTGATGATAACTATTTTTTCATGTGTTTTTTGGCTGCATAAATGTCTTCTTTTGAGATGTGTCTTTCATATCCTTTGCCCACTTTTTGATGGGGTTGTCTGTTTTTTTCTTGTAAATTTGTTTGAGTTCATTGTAGATTCTGGATATTAGCCCTTTGTCAGATGAGTAGGTTGTGAAAATTTTCTCCCATTCTGTAGGAGGTTGCCTGTTCACTCTGATGGTAGTTTCTTTTACTGTGCAGAAGCTCTTTAGTTTAATTAGATCCCATTTTTCAATTTTGGCTTTTGTTGCCATTGCTTTTGGTGTTTTATTACTCTCCTTCTTTATTAGAAAACTAAACCTTATTACACTCAGAGAAATAGAATGAGATGAGTTATTAGTAAAGAGTTTAGGGTGTCCACATTTATCAATGCTGTTTATGTGTAAAATAAATGAAAAGGAGGGAGAGATATTGAAAACTGCAATCCTGGGACTCATAGTGTATTTTGAATACAGGGCTTTATTTTTCCTCTTTTTACTTCAATAAACTATGTTTCTTAAAGGATACAGGAGTGAAAATGATTTCAAATAACTTGGTGTCAAGAATCATGGAGTGGGTGTTTTTGCTTAATCCTTCTTTATTTTATTCTCACTAAAATAAACTTGGGTTATTTATAAATAGAAAATATGTAAAAATCCTTGAAAATAAGAAAACATACCATGAACAGATAAGTAATTTTCAGCAACCTATAATTTCTTCTCACTCTCTGCCTATTCTGAGTGGCTGGCATTCATCACTTACACTTGACTAAAGTCTCGAGTACTTTAAAAATGCAAAATCTACCTTGAAAGGCACCCAGCGTGGCAATTAAAGCTTGGTAGGGAAGCTAATCAGAACATAAACCAATGATGTAAAAAAATAAATAAGACGATTTTTTTTTTTTTTTTTTTTGGCTACAGGGTCTCACTCTGTCACCCACAGTGGGTTGCAGTAGTGCTATCATAGCTCACTGCAGCCTCAACCTCCTGGGCACAAGCAATCCCCTTGCTTCAGCCTCCCAAATAGCTGGGACTACAGATGTGTATCGCCAAGTTTGGTTATTTTTTTTTTTTAATTTTTTGTACAGACAAAGTCTGCCTATCTTGCTCAGGCTGGTCTTGAACTCCTGAGCTCAAGTGATCCTCCTGCCTCGGCCTCACAAAGTGCTGGAATTACAGTCATAAGTCGCCCTGCCTGGATAAAAAGACAATGTTTTTGGAATATTTTTGTTAGTGTATTTAATCAAAAGTCTAAATAAGATAACCAACATCGTCAGAAAATAATTAATAATCTAAAATAACAAGTCCATTCTCACAAAACAAAGGGCAACAAGATGACTAGCTATCAAATAAGACCGAGAGCTTAATAGAATTGGGAGGGAAAGATGGAGAAAGATGGCAAAACGGAAGGCTCCAGTGATATCTGCCCTGCAAGGACAGCAATTTGGCAACCACCTACACACAAAAGGCACTCATAGTACTGGTTTTAACTTCAAGTCCCTGAGAGAGGCACTGAAGCGGTAGAAAAAGTCTTGAATTGCTGATGCCACCCCTCCCCTATCCCCATGGCAACAATGTTGTGGTGCAGAGAGTGTTGTGGGGCACTGAGGAGAGGGAAGTCACAGCATTTGCAAGGCATTGAACTTAGTGCTGTCCTATTATAAAAGAAAACAAAACAGGACCAAACTCAGCTGATGCCCACCCATGGAAGGGGCATTTAAACGAGCCCTAGCCAAAGGGGACTCACCAATCCCAGTGGTAGGAACTCTTCCTGCAAGCCTTGCCACTGTGAACTAAAGGGCTCTGGGGCTATAAACTTGCAAGGCAGTCTAAGCCACAAGGACTGCAACTCTTAGGCAAGTTATAGTGCTTAACTGGAGCCAGAGACAGTAGACTAGGGGGTGGGGGCACGTGACCTACTGAGACATCAACCAGATCTGCTAAAGGAGCGCTGATGCCACTCCACACTTAACCGCAGGTGCACAGCTAGAGGCTCCAAAAGATAGCCCTTCCCTCCACATGAGTGAGTAGAGGGAAGAGTTGGGAGGGCTTTGTTTTGCATCTCGGACACCAGCTCAGCCACAGCAGTATAGGGCACTGGTCACAGTTATGAGGTCCCCATTCTAGGCCCTAGCTCCCAGACTACATTTCTAGACACATCCTGGGCCAGAAAGGAACCCGATTCCTTGAAGGGAAGGATGAAGTACTGGCAGGATTTATCACATGCTAACTGAAGTGTCCTTGGGCCCTGAATAACCAGCAGCAATACCGAAGTACCATATCAAGGGCCTTTGGAGAGACTCTGAGGCTTGCTGGCTTCCAGTGAGATGCGACACTTTTCCAACTGTGATGGCTATAAGCAAGACTTCTTCAACTTGAGATAAGCAAATGGGGATTTTGTCTTGCGTCTTAGATACCAGCTTGGCCACAGGAGGGTAGAGCACCAAGCAGGCTCTTGGGGTCTTCAATTCCAGGACTTGGCTTTTGGATGGCATTTCTGGACCTGCCATCAGCCAGAGGGGAACCCACTGTGCTGAAGGGTGAGTCCTAGGCCAAGCAGCATTCACCACAAGCGGACTGAAGAGCCCTTGGGCATTAAACAAACAGCAGGGGTAGTGTAGATGTACTCCCCATAGGCCTGTGGTTATGGCAGCCAAGGGATGAGGCGCTTCTGACTTTCAAAAGAGAAGTAAAGAATAGAAAGAAAAGTATGCTGTGGTTTGAGTGGCAGTTCATCCACAGTACAATTGAACACCAGGTAGATTTCTAAGATGTTTAACTCTAGTCCCTGGCTTTTGTACATGTCCAGGGCCTGGGAGAACTTACCATGTTGAAAGGAAGGACACAGGCCTGGCTGACTTTGACTCTTTCTGATTATGGAGACCCAGGGACTTGAGTGAACATAGGCCATAGCCAGGGAGTGGATATAACAGGCTTTGGTTGAGATCCAGTACTGTGCTGGCTTCAGGTATGACTCACTGCAGTCTCAATGGTAGTGGCCACAGGTGTGCTTGTGTCACACCATCACACCACCCAGAGCTCCAGGTGGCTCAGAACAGAGAGAGAGAGAGAGAGAGAGAGAGAGAGAGAGAAGCAGACAGACAGACAGACTCTGTTCATTTGGGAGAAAGTAAGGCAAGGGAACAAGTGTTTTTGCCTAGTAATCCAGAAAATTCGTCCAGCTCTCCAATACCATTAAGGTGGTATATCCACAAGTCTGCAAGAAGCACAGTGTTAGTGGGCTTGGGGTGCCCCCTAAAGCAAATAGACCTTAGATCAAACACCCAAGTCCTTTTGAATATTTAGAAAGCATTCTCAAGAAGAATGCTTGGAAGCCCAGACTAAGAAGACTACAATACATGCCTAACATTTCAAGACCAGACACCAACAAACATCTACAAACATCACCACCATCCAGAAAATCATGAACTCAAAAAATGAACCAAGGCACATGTATACATATGTAACTAACCTGCACAATGTGCACATGTACCCTAAAACTTAAAGTATAATAAAAAAAAATGAACCAAATGAGCCATCAGGGACCAGTCTTGGAGAAACAGAGATATGTAACCTTTCAGACAGAGAATTCAAAATATCTGTTTTGAGGAAACTGAAACAAATTTAAGATAACAGAGAGGGTCAGGCGTGGTGGCTCATGCCTGTAATCCCAGCACTTTGGGAGGCTGACGTGGGCGGATCACAAGATCAGGAAATCAAGACCATCCTGGTGAACATGGTGAAACCCTGTCTCTACTAAAAATACAAAAATTAGCTGGGCATGGTGGCAGGTGCCTGTAATCCCAGCTACTTGGAGGCTGAGGCAGGAGAATTGCTTGATCCCAGGAGGCAGAGGTTGCAGTGAGCCGAGATCATGCCACTGCACCCCAGCCTGGCGACAGAGCGAAACTGTCTCAAACAAACAAACAAAAAGATAACACAGAAAAGGAATTTAGAATCCTATCAGGTAAATTTAACTGAGGGATTTAAATAATTAAAAAGAATTCAGCAGAAATTCTGGAGTTTTTGAAAAATGCAATTGGCATACAGAAGAATGCATCAGAGACTTAATGGCAGAATTGATCAAGCAGAAGAAAGAATTAGTGAGCTTAAAGAGAGGCTATTTGAAAATATATAGTCAGAGGACACAAATGAAAAAAAGAATGAAAACAATGAAGCACACCTAGCCTCAACAGGGCAAATTTAAGAGTTACTGGCCTTAAAAATATTCCTCAAAAAATAAGGGAGAAATAGACTTTCCCAGACAAACAGAAGCTTAGGGATTTTACCAGCACCAGACCTGTCCTGAGAGAAATGCTAAAGAGAGTAATTTAATCAGAAAGAAAGGAATGTTAATGATCAATAAGAAATCATCTGAAGCTGCAAAACTCACTGGCAACATTAAGTACACAGAAAAACATAGAATATTATAACACTCTGACTATGGTGTGTAAACTACTTTTATCTTAAGTAGAAGGACTAAACAATGAACCAATAAAAAATAATAACCACAACAAATTTTCAAGACATAGACAGTACAGTACAGTAAGATATAAGTAGAAACAACAAAAAGTAAAATGTGGGGCAACAAAGTTAAAATATAGTGTGTTTATTAGTTTTCTTTTTGCTTTCGTTTGTTTATGCAAACAGTATTAAATTGTTATCAGCTTAAAATAATGAGTTACAAGATAGTATTTGCACGTCCAGTGGTAACCTTAAACCAGAAATATATATATATGTATGCATCCAGATGGGTAATGTCTGCTCATAGTGAGACACCAGCTGAGGTAGCTCACAGCAACAAAAATGACTCCTTCCTGCTTGAGGAGAGGAGAGCAAATAGTAAAGAGGACTTTGGCTTGCATCTTACATACCAGCTCAGCCACATAGGATAGGGCAACGGGCAGAGTCATGAGGCCCCCATTTTAGGCCCTAGCTCCCGGATGACATTTGGAGGCACACCATGGGCCAAAAGGGAATCTGCTGCCTTGAAGGGAAGGACCTAGTCCTGGAAGGATTCTTAATATGCTGACTAAATGGCCCTCAGGACCTGAATTACCAACAGGGATGCCCAGGTAGTATGCCATGGGCCTTAGGTGAGACTCAGAGATATGCTGTCTTCAGGTGAAACCCAGAACATTTGCATCTGTGATGGCTATGATGAAAGCCACTCACTCTGCTTAAGAAAAGCAGAGGGAAAAATAAAAGGGACTCAGTCTTGCACCTTATATATCAGCTTATTCATAGTAGGAAAGAGGACCAAGCAGGAGCTTAGGTTTCCTGAGTCTGGGCCTAAGTTCTTGGACAACATTTCTGGATCTAAGCTGGGGAGCCCACTGCCCTGAAGGGTGAGTCCCGGGTCTGGCAGCATTCACCACAAGCTGACTGAAGAGCCATTGGCCTTTAATTAAACATCAGTGGTAGGTTGGCAGAGCTCCCTGTGGCCCAGTGATAGTGGTGGCCACCAGAAAAGGCACCTCTACCAATGGAGAGGGGAAAAAAGAGTGGGAAGGACTGACCGTCTATTGTGGTTTGAAGGTCAGCTCAGCTGCAGTAGAAAAGAAAATCAGGTAGAATTCTCATGTTTTTGACTTCAATCACTGGATTCCATACAGCATCTTTAGACCTCCCCAGGGCTTATGGAAAGATGCCACCCTAAAGGGAAGGACACAAACCTGGCTGGCTTCCCCCCTCACCCAGCCCCCTGCCGATTGTAGAGCCCTGTGGCCTTCAGGGAACATAGGCAATAGCCAGGTAGTGTTTATAGATGACCTTGGGTGAGACCCAGTGTTTTGCTGGCTTCAGGTTTGATCCATTGAAGTCCCAGTGGTGGTGGCCAAAGAGGTGCTTTTTTCACCCTACCCTCAGTTTCGGGTGGCTCAGCACAGAGAAAGACTCTGTTTATTTGGGAGAAAGTAAGGGAAAAGAATAAGAGTCACTACCTGGTAATGCATGGAATTCTTCCAGATCTTATCCAAGACAACCAAGGTGGTACCTATACAAGTCTGTAAGAAGCACAATATTTATGAGCTTGGGGCTTAATGTGGTTTGGTTCTGTGTCACCACCCAAATCTCATCTCTGACTTTAATCCTACATGTTGGGGGAGGGGCCCAGTGGGAGGTGATTGAATAATGGGGGAAAACTTCCCCTTTGCTTTTCTCCTGTCAGTGAGTGAGTTTTCATAAGATCTGGATGTTCACTTCCCCCTTCACTCTCTCTCTCCTGCTCCACTATGGTAAGACGTGTTTGTTTCCCCTTTGCCTTCTGCCATTGTAAGTTTCCTGAGGCCTCCTAGCCATGCTTCCAGTTAAGTCTGTGGAACTGTGAGTCAATTAAACCTCTTTTCTTCATAAATTACCCAGTCTCAGGTAGTTCTTTATAGCAGTGTGAGAACGAACTAATACAAGACCCACATTCCTTTTAATACCTGGAAAGCCTTCCCAAGAAAGGCAAGCCCAAACAAGCCTTGACTGCAAAGGCTACAATAAATACCTGACTCTTCAATGCTCAGACACCCATAAATATGCACAAGATTCTACACTATCCAGAAAAACATGACATTGCCAAATGAACTAAATACCAACCCTGGAGAAAAAGAGCTATGTGACACTTCAGACAGAGAGTTCAAAATAGCCATTTTAAGGAAATTCCAATAAATTCAAGATAACACAGAGAAGGAATTCAGAATCCTATCAGATAAATTTAACTAAGATATCGAAATAATTTTAAAAACTCAAGCAGAAATTCTGGAATTAAAAAATGCAATTGACATACAGAAGAATGCATCAGACTCAATGGCTGAATTGATCAAGCAGAAGAAATAATTAGTGAGTTTGAAGACAGGGTATTTAAAATACAAAGTCAGAGGAGACAAAAGAAGAAACACAACAAAGCATACCTACAGGATCTAGAAAATAGCCACAAAAGGGAAAACCCAAGAGTTACTGGCCTTAAAGAGGAGGAATAGAAAGATAGGGGTAGAAATTTTATACAAATGGATAATAACAGAGATCTTTCCAAATCTAGAGAAAGATATCAAAATCCAAGTATGAGAAGTTTATAGAACACCAAGCAAGTTTAACCCAAACAAGACTACCTCAAGGCATTTAATAATTAAATTTCCAAAGATCAAAGATTTTAAAAAGGATTCTAAAAGCAGCAAGAAAAAAGAAACAAATAACATACAATAGAACCACAATACATCTGGCAACAGACTTTTCAGTGGAAACCCCATAGGCCAGGAGAGAGTAGTATGATATATTTAAAGTGGTGAAGGGAAAAACTTTTAACCTAGAAAGTAAATCTGGTGAAAATATCCTTCAAGCATGAAGGAGAATTAAAGGCCTTCCCAGACAAACAAAAACTGAGGGATTTCATCAACACTGAACCTGTTCCAAAAGAAATGCTAAAGGGAATTCTCTAATCCGAAAGAAAAAGATGTTGATAATCAGGAAGAAATCATCTGAAGTTACAAAGCTCAATGGCAATAGTAATACTAAGCACTGGTAACACTAAGTACAGAGAAACCAATATATTATAACACTGTAATTGTGAGGTGTAAAGTACTATTATCTTAAGTAGAAAAAAAATGATGAACCAATCAAAAATAATCACTACAACTTTACATGACATAGTACCATAATACATGAAAAGAAATAACAAAACTTAAAAAGCAGGGGGATGAAGTTAAAATGTAGAGTTTTCATTCATTTTCTTTTTGCTTATTGGTTTGTTTATGCAATCAGTGTTGAGTGGTCATTACTTTAAAATAATGGGTTTTAAGATAGTATTTGCAAGCCTCATGGTAACCTCAAATCAAAAAACATTCACTGGATACACAAAAAAAATAAAAGCAAGAAAGTAAGTTATACCACAAGGGACAATCACCTTCAATTTAAAAAAGACAGAAAGAAAGAAATGAAGAGAGAGAAGACCAAAAGACCACCAGAAAACAACAAAATGCCAGGAGTAAGCACTTACTTATCAATAACAACATTGAATGTAAACAGATTAAACTCTCCATTCAAAATATAAAGAGTGGCTGAGTGGATAAAAAAAGTAAGACTCAATGATCCTAAAGGAAACACATTTCACCTATATATTAATATATACATATAGACTGAAAATAAAGGGATGGAAAAAGATACTCCACGTCAATGGAAACCAAAAAAGAGCAGGAATAGCTATACTTATATCAAACATAGTAGATTTCAAGACAAAAACTATCAGAAGGGACAAAGGATGTAATTATATAATGATAAAGGGGTCAATTTAGCAATTAGGTAAACATTGTAAATGTGCATCTCAATGCTGAGCACCCAGGTATATAAAGCAAACATTATTGGAGCTAAAGAGAGATATAGACCTGCCTACAGTAACAGCTGGAGGCTTCAACATGCCACTTTCAGCTTTGGACAGATCTTCCAGACAGAAAATCAATATAAAAAATCAGATTTAATCTGCAGTATAGAACAAATGGACCTAAAAGGTATTTACAGAACATTTAATCCAACAGCTGTAGAATATACATTATTCTCCTCAGCACATAAATCATTCTCAAGGACAGTCCATATATTAGACCACAAAACAAGTCTTAAAATACTAAAAAAAAAAGAAATAATATAATTCTGACCACAATAGAATAAAACTAGAAATTAATAACAAGAGGAATTTTGGAAACTATACAAACATGTGGAAATTTAAAAACTACGCTACTGAATGAACAGTGGGTCAATGAAAAAATTACAAAGGAAATTTAAAAATTTCTTGAAACAAATGAAAACACAACATGTCAAAACCTATGGGATACTGCAAAAGCAACGGTAAGAGGGAAATTTATAGCAATAAGTGCCTACATTAAAAAGAAGAAAAACATCAAACAAGTAACATTATGATGCATCTTGAAGAACTATAAATGCAAAAGCAAATCAACCCCAAAATTAGTAGAAGAAAAGAAATAATAAAGATCAGAGCAGAAATAAATGAAATTGAAACAAAACATTACAAAAGATCAACAAAATGAAAATCTACTTTTATGAAAGACAATTAAAATTGACAAATCTTTAGCTAGACTAAGAAAAAAGGAGACACCTATATTTTCAAAAATCAGAGCTGAAAAGAGATATTATTACTGATACTGAAGGATTTCCAAGGATCACTAGTGGCTACTATGAGAAACTATATCCCAATATATTTCAAAATCTAGAGAAAGTGGATGAATTTCTAGATATATACAACCTAACAAGATTGAAAAATGCAGAAATTCAGAACCTGAACAAAGAAATAACAAGTAACAAGATTGAAGCCATCATAAAGGGTCTCCCAGTAAAGAAAAGCCCAGGATCAGATGGCTTGACTGCTGAATTCTACCAAACACTTAAAGAAGAATTAATACTAATTCTATTCAAACTATTCCAAAAATTAGATAAGGAGGAAATACTTCTAAACTCATTCTATGAAGCCAGTATTACCCTGATACCAAAACCAGAAAAAGACACATCAAAAAAGAAAATTATAGGCTATAAAACTATAGTTAAAATTTAAAACTATAGTTTACTTAGAAAACTAAGAAAACTCTTCAAAATCTCTAATGAATATTAATGCAAAAAATCCTCAACAAAATACTAGCAAACCAAATTGAACAATATATTAAAAAGATCATTCATCATGATGAAGTGGGATTTATCCCAGGGATGCAAGGATGGTTTAACATAAACAAATCAATCAATGTGATACATCATATCAACAGAATGAAGGCCAAAACCATATGATCATTTCAATTCATCCATAAGAACCATTTTATAAAGTGCAACATCCCTTTATGATTAAAGAAAACTCTCAAAAAACTGGGCATAAAAGAAACAAACCTCAACGTAAAAAAGCCATATACAAAAGATCCACAGCTACTATCATACTGAATGGGGAAAGAAATGAAAGCCTTTCCTTTAAGATATGGAACATGACAAAGATGTCCACCGTCACCACTGTTATTTGACATAGCACTAGGAGTCCTAGCCAAAGGAATCAGGCAAGAGAAAAAAAATAAAATGCATCCAAATGCAAAGGCAGAAGTCAATTTATTCTTGGTTGCAGATAATATGATCCTTTTTTTAAAAAAAAAAAACCTAAAGACACTACCAATAAACTATTGGAACTGATAAACAAATGCACTAAAGTTGAAGGATACAAAATCAAAATACATGAATCAGTAGCATTTCTATGTATCAATAGTAAACAATCTGAAAAATAAATGTAAAAATAATCCAATTTACAATAGCCACAAATAAAATTAAATACCAGGAATTAACATAACCAAAGAAGTGAAGAATCTCTACAGTGAAAACCATAAAACACTGATGAAAGATACTGTAGAGGTCACAAATAAACAGAAAAATATTCCATGTTCATGGACTGGAAGAATTAACATTATTAAAATGTTCATACTACCCAAAGCAATCTACAGACTCAATGCAATCGCTATCAAAATACCATTAACATTCTTCACAGAAATAGAAAACATAATCCTAAAAGTTATATGGAACCACGAAAGACTTAGAATAGCCAACGCTATCCTAAGCAAAAAGAACACAACTGAAGAAATCACATTACCTGACTTCAAATTATACTAACAGAGCTATGGTAACTAAACCAGCATGGTACTGGCATAGAAACAGACACATAGGTCAATGGAACAGAATAGAGAACTCAGAGACAAATTCATCTGCCTACAGTGAACTCATTTTTGACAAAGTTTCCAAGAGCATGTGGTAGGGAAAGAATAGTATCTTCAATAAATTGTGATGGGGAAATTGAATATCTGTATGCAGAATGATGAAACTAGACCCCTATCTCTTGCTCTACACAAAAAAGTCAATTCAAAATGGATCAAAGACTTAAATTTGAGGCCTCAACCTATGAAACTACTATGAATAAACATTGGGAAAACTCTACAGGACATTGGTCTGGGCAAAAATTTCTTGAGTAACACCCCACAAGCACAGGCAGCCAAAGTAAAAATGGACAAATGGGATCACATCAAGTTAAAAAGCTTCTGCACAACAAAGGATACAATCAACAAAGTAAAGAGACAAGCCACAGAATAGGAGAAAATAATTGCAACCTACTCATCTGACAAGGGATTAATAACCAGAATACATCAGGAGCTCAAACAACTCTACAAGGAAAAAATCTAATAATCCAATTTGAAAATGGGCAAAATATCTAAATAGATATTTCTCCAAAGAAGACATATAAATGGCAAGCAGGCCTATGAAAAGGTGCTCAACGTTATTAATCATAGGAGAAAAGCAAATCCCCAAACTACAATGAGATATCATCTTACCCCAGTTAAAATGGCTTTTATCCAAAAGACAGGCAGTAACAAATGTTGGCGAGGATGTAGAGAAAAGCGAACCCTTGCACACTGTTGGTGGGGATGTAAATTAGTACAACCACTATGGGTAACATTTTGGAGGTTCTTCAGAAAACTGATAGTAGAACTATCATGTGATTCAGCAATCCCACTGCTTGGTATATACCCAAAAGAAAGGAAATCAGTACATTGAAGAGATATCTGAACTCCTATGTTTGGTGCAGCACTGTTCACAATAGCTAAGACTTGGAAGCAACCTAAGGGTCCATCAACAGATGAATAGATAAAGAAAATGTAGTGCATATACACAATGGAGTACTAACTAGCTATAACAAATGAGATCTAGTCATTTGCAACAACGTGGATGGAACTGGAGATCATTATGTTAAATGAAATATTAAGTCAGGCACAGAGAGAAGAAAGATAAACATTGCATGTTCTCACTTATTTGTGTGATCTAAAAGTCAAAACAATTGAACACATGAACACAGAGAGTAGAAGGATGGTTAACAGAGTCTGGGAAGGGTATTGGGGGTGGGAGTAGGGGGTGTAGTGTGAGTAGGATTGGGGGCAGTTGATAGGTACAAAAACGTAGTTAGAAAGAATGAAAAAGAGCTACTAATCGATTGCACAACTGGGTGAATATAGCCAATAATGATTTAACTGTACATTTTAAAATAACCAAGAGTGTAATTGGATGATTTGTAACACAAAGAAAAATACTTAAGGTGATGAATACCCCATTTATCATGATGTGATCATTAAACATCGCATGCCTGTATCAAAGTATCTCAAATACCCCATAAATATATACACCTACTATATACCCACATAAATTGCAAATAACATTTTTAAAATAGTAATAATAAAAATAAAAGGAAGAACTTTATTTAGCATATCTGGTCTTTCTCTCTGATTTGTTTCCCTTTTCTTCATCCTCAAATGAGCTCTCTTCCATGTAGCAGTAAAGATGGGCTTCAGTATTGCCAATATATTATTCTTGGCACCTATGATCTTTGAAGGAACAAAAATTTCTTTCACTACAGATACATCAATTAACACTAAGCTGATGTAATTGGCCCAGCTTGGATCTGACATCCGTAGATCTGATTGGCTAGGCCCAGGTTGCATGCCCACCTTAGAAATGAACAGTAAAATGAGTCCTTTATAAACAACATAAACAAAAATTAAAGGAGAACAGATTCCACTATCTGAAGAGACTGGCCTTGCTTCCTGAAGAGGAGAAGTAAACAATGAAAAATAAGCAATATTTTACACCAACCATGATTTAGTTCATCTTGTATGGACTCTTCGGCTGCCAAATTTAATATCATATGTATTATCTGAAAGAAATGCAGATTTATATAGCAAATAAATAAACAGTTCACTTGGAGAACACACTTAACTCTTGAATTAGTAAATCAGCATTTGTTTTATATTACCTAAAGTCTGTTCTTTATCACTTTGACTTGTACAAACTAGACAAGATGAATTTCTTTAATTGAAAATTCTACTTTGTGAAATATGTGCTATAGATAGTGAACAGAATATAAAGCAGGATAATCCTTGAAAGTTAATAGAGATATCTTCCCCTCAAAAAAAAAAAAAACAAAACCAAACAAAAACAGCCTATATTTTTACAAATAAACAGTGGGAACAATGGCATGTGCCAAAAGAGAGCAAAGGGAAACTTGCCAGACCATCATTTATTCAGGCATGCAGGGCCTGGTATGACACAGTCAGTTGCATTTAAATAACATGGGCAACATCTTTCATTTCAGGGTGCTTACATTAAGTAGAAAAAAGGAAAACCTTATTTCCTGTGGCCCCCTGTGCATGGTTTTTCCCCCAGACTATTTTCTGTTTTCCTTTTCCAACTTTGTGCTCTGGCCATGGTGCTGAATGCTGGAGGGCCACAACTCGATTAGCCCCAGGCTGACACGAAGAGCACAGTTCAAATTGTGGATTTAAAGTTACAGTAGATAATTATTCTTTTGTAAGAAGTGGTATTTTCTTTTTTGAGTAGGATAATTTGTGATGTGGGATAAGGCAGAGATCATGGCCCAAAAGAATATCACATTATTGACTCTGCTTCAGGGAGGAACATTTGTCTCTGCCTTCAAGTAAAATTATGGTTACTACTTCTTAGTAGCACAAAGACACATTAATTAGTTTTGAGAACAAATTAATTACAGAAACTACTTGCATCAATGTGGAAGAAAATACTTTAATACCTCGAAAAATAAAAAATAAAAAATTCTTTACTTAAGATGTAAGCTCCATATGGGCAATGTTTTGTTTTATCTATTTTGTTTTGCTTTATTTTCTTCCTATGCCCCTACTATATCTCTAGTATGCCAAAATGAACATCACACATAGAAAGCATTAGACACTTTTTCTTAAAAAGATTTTTCCTCTACTTACTATGGTATTTTTAAAAAGTTACTATCCTCTTTGCCTCAGTTACTTTATATATGTGAGTTGTACCTAGATCACAGGATTATGTGATGATTAAGTGACATAAAACATATGAAATACTTTTTAGAGTGTCATGTGAAGATCACTAAAAATTAGTATGACTATCATTTAATATAAGATAAATAAAAGGTACTTGAATATGAAATACATACTTATATCAAGACCTTTCAAAATGAACATGTGTTTCTTAACACTTAGAGTTTTGAATTCATGTAATTATATTAAAGTACAAAAATTTAAAAATATACTTAACTTGTATAGGCACATTTACCATAACTTTCTACATGTGGCAATATGAACAATGCCTTAGAGGAAATTTAAAAATGAATTTCAAGAACTGTCAACTAAGAAATAATTGCTTGAAATGATTTAATAAATATTAAATAGTGGAGAAATCATTGGAAGGATAGTAAAAAATGATGATGCAAGCAAAATTTAATAGTATCAATGAAAAGCAAATGTGTTAGTTAAAAATCATTTTCATACAAAATTGTTGGTAACAAATGATGTTACAAACATTCAACACCTATCTATCATTACCTGAATGACCACATTCCAAAATAGTAATTTTGTTAAGGTGGTGTGGTACAACATATTATATGGTCTCATATAATATAAAAAATACATTTTATATCTGTAAATATTTTTGAAAATTAGTTATGATTTAATTAAAATGAAAATTTCATACATTATGTTACCAGATTATTCTGAAGCTCCAGATTTAGTGCATTTTAATTACTTCAAAATATATTTGTCACATTTTCTTGTTATAAGAGATATATTATTTTTAAGCTTTCTATTTTGATATTATTATAGACCAACCAGATGATATAGGTAAGTATCGATATAGACAGACACATTCACACAAGTACATCCGTGGAGGTCCCACGAGCTCTGCCTATCTCTCCTCCATTGTTAGTATCGTGTATAACTATACTACAATATCAAAAACATAAGAACTGATTTTAGTACAATCCATGACTTTTTTAAAATTTTACCAGTTACACAACCATTTATATGCACACGACATATGTGTGTGCAGCTCTATGCAATTTTATTACATGTGTAGCTTTGTGTAACTACCACTACAATCAAGGTGCAGAACTGATTTTTTACTGCATGCTACCATTTAGAGCCAACTATAACTCTCCCCCAAAAACCTTTTCCTCTGTAAGCTACTAATTTGTTTTCTAGCCATATAATAACATTATTTTAACAATCACAGATACATTGGATTATACATTATGTAAACTTTTTTGATTGGCTTTTCTCACTTAACGTAACTCCCTAAAGATCCTTCCAAGTTGTGTGTGTAATAAGACTTTGTTTCTTACAGAGTATCATTCCATGGTATAGATATGCTTCAGTTTAACTATTCACCCTTGAAGAATATTTGGGTTACAGTTTTTTGACTATTACATGTAAAGCCAAAAAACTGTAGGATAAATTCTCTAGGATAAATGCCTGAGAGTGAATTTCTATGATGTAGACACAGTACATTTTTAGTTTTTAAATAAAATGCCAAATTAATTTCCAGACTCTCTCATTTTACATTTATACCAGCAATGTAAAAGCAATCTATTTTTTTCCACATCCTTGAAAGTATTTTGTGTTTGTACTGTATTTTTAATTTATTTATTCTGATATGTGTGTAACATATTAATATATTATTATAGTTTAAATTTGTATTTCCCTAGTGATCAATAGGGTTGAATATTTTTCATGCACTGTATTTCCTCTGTATTTCCTCTTTGTGAAATAACTGCTCATGTTTTCTGTCCATTTCATATTTGAATTTCTTATTGATACGGTTTATGAGTCATTTATATACTGTTGATTCAAACTCTTAGTCAGATACGTGCTTTGCAAATATTTTCTCACAGTCCATAGCTTATCTTTTCATTCTCTTAACAGAGTTCTCAACATGGCAAAATTTTTTTATTTTTATGAGGTTCAATTTGTCAATTTTGGATCATGCCTGCATAAGTATTATTACCTGCATAATTATTTAAAACTGATGTTTGTGTACATATCGTCACATTTACTGCTGGGCTACGGAGGGTGGCATGGGCAAAGAATTTTTTAGTGGCTTGCATTTCTATACTAGGTTTAGATCAAGGGTTTTTTTCTTGATTTTTGAGTCAATTTCTGAAAGGTATATTTTTCATAGAAATTGACTCAGGTCCTCTAAATTTTCAGCAAGTTTGATGAAATTTTTGATTCATTCCTGCTCTTCTCTTTTCATTTATGCTGTATAATTCAAAATTTTGTTGACTTGTGCTTTTTCTTTTCACTGGTCATTTTCTTAAGAGTTTTGTGTATTTCATTAATCTTTAAAAAAATGAGCATATTGCATGTTTGTTTCATACTTTTTTTGCTCTTATGTTTATTATGTTCTTTTTCCTATTTAAGGATTTATTCTACTGTTTTTTTCTAATTTCTTAAGTTACATACTTATATAATGAATGCTTAGCCTTCATTATTTTGACAATAAAAATTTAAGGCCATATATTTCTTTTAAAATACTCTTCTGCTGAATTCCATAAAGGGTGTGTGTGTGTGTGTGTGTGTGTGTGTGTGTGTGTTTTAAATTAATAGACTATATTTTCAAGCATAGTCTCAGGTTTGCAAATATATTGAACAGATAGTATAGAGGGTTCCCATATATTTTCTTTTCCCCTACAGTTTTCTCCAATTAACATATTGCATTAATGAGAACATTTGTTATAGCAAATGAAGCACTATGAGTACATCATTATTAACTAAAGTCCATAGTACTACATATTAGGTTTAAAAGCCTACGAGAGTCTTCTACCTAACAAAAGCCTAATCTCTAAGGGTACGGAATTTGCCAGATGACGATTCTAAGACATTATCCTATTTGGGGTATGGAATTTTGCCCTAGCACGATCCTTTTTGTTTCATGTAAGAGGAAAAACTAAAAAGTCAAACTGTGCATCCCAGAAATAGGTTGACCTAAAAGGAAGAGGCTGAAATACAAAAAGTGATTTAAAGAGTTTACTTGAGCCAAAATAAGGATGGCTGCCTGGAAGACTCAGGCCCAAGAAACCTTGGATATAAGCTCCATTTGGCGTTTGTTACAACCAGATTTTAAAGGCAAAAAAAGAAAAAAAAAACAGGACAGGGAGTGTTTTATACAAAGTTCTGTAAGGAATTCTCATTGGTTTACAGAGATAATATTGATTAGTGATCAGTTATACATTGTTAAGTGATGGAGTGTGAGATATAGTGTCTGGTGACAAAAAAATAAGAAACATTAAAGAAACAAAAAAAATCAGAATCAGATTAAGATATGAAACAGGTGTTGGAATTATCAGACATGGTATTCAAATAACTATGATTATATGTTAAGGATTCTAATAGAAAAGGTAAACATTATGCAAAGTCAGATGGGTAATGTCTGGTCTTATTTAGAGAAATTAAAGTGCAAAGAAAAAATCAAATTTATATGCTAAAAATTAAAAAACAAAATAGTATTACTAATAAAGAATGACTTTGGCAGGTTCATTACTAGACTCAACACAGTTGAGGAATAAATCAATGAATAGAAGCATTCCAAAATATGATACAAATAGAAAAAAAGAGAATGTCAAAGACACAGCACAGAATATCCAAGAACTACAGAATAATATCAAAAGTATAATGTACATATACTTAAAATACCAAAAGATTAAAAAAAGAGAAAAGGACAAAAGAAATATTTGAATTAGTAATGCCCAAGAACTTTACAAAATTAATGACAGACAACACACTACAAATTCAAGATCATAGAACACCAAAAAGGTAAATATTTAGTGAAAAAAAAACCTAGAAATACTATATTCAAATTGCAGAAAGCCGATTTAAAAAAGGAGTATCTCGAATGAATTGGCTGGGAACATACATACATATATATGTTTACATATACAGGAACATAGAGATAAGTGAATTAAGTGACAGCAATGTCACAAGGGATGGGAGGAAGGAATTAGGATTAGTCTTTTAAAATATCTGCACTACATCTAAAGCAATACAGTGCTATTTGAAAGTGAACATGGGTTGTTTTAAAAATGTACATTGTAAACCCAGGGAAAACCACTAAAATGATTTAAAATTTTTAAAAATGTATAACCAAGAGAAAGAAATAAAAATTAAATCATATAGGAAGCTTAAGGAAGAATAGAAAAAATAAAAGAAAAAAAGGAACAACTAAAATGAATAAAAAGTTGTTATAAACATGTTACATTTTAAGTCAATAGTATCAATGATCACTTTAAATAAGAATAATCCAAAGACATCTGTTAAAAGGCAGAGACTGTCAGATTAATTACAAAAATACAACTTTATGCTGTCTACAGGAAACTTTCTTTAAATACAGACTCAGGTAGGTTAAAAGTAAAAGAATAATAAATATATACTATCCTAAAACAAATAAAAAGAAAGGTGGATTGGCTATTTTAATTTCCAACAAAGCAGACTTAAGAACGTAACAGATTATCAGAGATAAATAAAGGGTTTGCATAATGACAAAGGGCCAATGCTCCAAAAAAAAAAAACTACCCTAAACAATTATGTGCCTAACCACAGAGTGGCAAAATCTGTGAGGCAAAACATGATATAATTGAAAGGATAAAGAGACAAATCCAATATCATAGTTGGAGATTTCAATATCTTTATATCACTAATTGATAGATCAAGTAGGAAAAAATCAATAAGGATACAGATGATTTGAACAGCAATATCAATCAACTTGCTCTAATTGACATCTATAGAATATTTCATCTGACAACAGCAGAATACACGTTCTTCTCATGCACACATAGAGCTTTCACTAAGAGAGGCCATATTCTGGCCATGAATAAACACCTAACAAATTTAAATGAATAAAAGTCATATAAAGAGAACTCTTAGGTGATATGGAATTAAATTAGAAATTAATAACAGAAAGATAGCTGGAAAAAATTCAAAATATTTGGATATTAAACACCACCCTTTTAAATAACACTTGAATTAAAAAAGAAGTCTCAAGAGAAAATTAAAAATGTGAATTAAATACAAATGAAAATATAACATCAAAATTTGTGGGATGCAACTAAAGCAGTACTTATAGGAAATTATATAACATATTTAAAAAGATTTCCACTAATGACTGCTAGGAGAAAAATCTTAAAATGTATAACATAAGTTTCCACATTAGGAGTACAGAGAAGGGAAGAAAATTTAAAGCTAAAGAATTTAGAATAAAATGAATGATAAAGATTAAAATTGAGATTAGGAAAAAAATAGAGACAGTGAGTAAAACCAAAAGCTCGTTCTTTAAAACAGTCAACAAAATTGATAAGACATAGGCAGAATGTACAAATTTTAACAAAGACTCAAATTACCAATGTCATTACTAACTCCATGAACATTAAAAGATAATAAAGAAATATGCAAAAGTCTATGCCCACAAATTTGATAACTTAGATTAGGTAAACCCAACTCTAGGAAACACAAATTACAAAAACTCACTCAAAGAGAAATAATCTCAATAACCCTGTATCTATTAAATAATTTACTTAGTCGTTATAAACTGCCCCAATAATTAAACACCAAGCCCAGTTGCTTCACTAATGAATTCCACCTAAAAGTTGAGAAAGAAATAACACCAGTGTTTTGCTATCTCTTTTGGAAAACAAATGCAAAGGGACACATTTTAAGGATACATAAAACACATTTTAGGGCACATTTATGTATTCTGAAAATGTGACCTAATGCATTTTATGAAGCCAGCCTTATTTTAATACCAATACCAGATGGAGTCATTGCAAAGAAAGAAAACTACAGACCAACATGTCTCCTTGAACATAAACAAAAGATTTCTGAACAAATATTAGCAAATTGAATCCAGCAACATATAAAAAGGATTACATAGTAAGACCAAATGTAATTCATTTGAGAAATCTAAAGTTGCTTCAACATTCATAAATCATTCAATGCAACATATTAGTACACTGAATAAGAAAAAACATATGATCACAGCTATAGGTTTAGAAAAAATCTTCTGACAAATTTCAACACCCATTAATGACAAAAACACTCAACACATTAGGAATAGAAGGGATCATCTTTAACTTAAAAAGTATATATAAAACATCTACAGTGAATATCATACTTAATGGTAAGAGACTGAATAGTTCTGCATTAATTAAAGTTGAGAGTGAGACAAGGATGTCCTCTCTCACCACTCCTATTCAACATCATAGCAGAAGTCTTAGCTAGTGTGATAATATTAGGAAAAGAAATTAAAGGTATAGATATTGGAAAGGAAGAAACAAAACTGTATTCACAGATAAAAATTTTGTCTAGGTAGAAAATCTGCCAAAATTTACAAACAAACAAACAAAAAACTTCCAGAATTTATCAGTAGAGCAAGATCACAGCAGAAAAGATTCATATTAAAAAGTCGATTCCATTTCTACATGCCAGCAATCACTAATTGGAACTTGAAACTTCAGAAAAAAATACTATTTGAAATAACATCAAAACACAAAATTAATTTGCAAATCACATATCTGATAATGGACCTATATTCACAATATATAAATAACTCATAAAACTTGATACTAAAGAGAGGAATATATCAATTTTTCAAAATGGGCAAAAACTATGAATAGGTATCTTTCTAAAGAGGATACACAAATGTCTAAAATGGGCATGAAAAGTGCTCAGCATTATTAATCATTAGTGAAATGTAAATCAAAGTGATAATGAGATACCACTTCACACTCACTAAGATGGCTACAATAAAAAGATGAAACTGATTCTAATATTTATTTGGAAAAACAAAGGATTTAAACTAGTCTACAGAATACTGAGAACAAAGTTGGAGGACTCACAGTACCCAACATCAAGACTTACTATAAAGCTCTACTTAATCCAGTGTCATATTGGCAAAAGAATGAAGATATTGATTAATGAAATAGAATACAGAAACCAAAAACAGACCTGTGCATATATAGCCAACTAATGTTTGACAAAGTCCAGACAATTCAATGGATAAAGAATAGTACTCAAAAATTGTGCTAAAATTTATGTCATAAAATGAACCTAGATACAGACCTCACATTTTAGAAAAAAATTAAATCAAATTGAATCAAAGACATTCATGTAAAATACAAAATGATAAAACTTCTGGAAGGAAAACATAGTAGTAAATCTGTGACTTTGTGTTTGGTGATAAGTTTTGTTTAGTTTTTGTGTGTTTATTTGTTTGTTTGGAGACAGAGTCATGTTCTGTTGCGCTGGCTAGAGTGCAGTGGTGCAATCTCGGCTCACTGCAACCTCTACATTTCGGGTTAAAGCAATTCTCGTGTCTTAGCCTCCCAAGTAGCTGGGATTACAGGTATGTGCCACCATGCCCAGCTAATTTTTGTATTTTTAGTAGAGACGGGGTTTCACCATGTTGGCCAGGCTGGTCTCAAACTCCTGACCTTAAATGATCCACCCACCTCAGCCTTCCAAAGTGTCGGAATTATAGGCATGAGCCACCACACCCAGCCTGGTGATATGTTTTTATATATAACAAAACACAATCCATAAACAATGATGTTAGACTTTTTTAAAAGTAAAACTCTTGATCTATGAAAGATGCTGTTAAGATATTGAAAAGAGGAGCCACAGTATGTGAAAAAAATATTTGCAAAGCACTTATCTGATAAAAGATTTGTTCCAGAATATACAAAATAACACTGAAAATTCAGCAATGAGAAAACAAACAACTCAATTTTTTAAAAATTGGGCAAAAGATCTGAACAGCTACCTTGCTGAAAAAGATATATAGACGGTAAATAATATACGAAACTATGTTCAACATCAAATATCATTAGGGAAATGCAAATTAAAACAACAAAGAGATACCATTACATACTCACTACAATGGCTAAAATGAGCAGGGGCCGGAGGCAGGGATGAAATTGTCCATAAAAAACATTAGTGAGGAAATGAAAAAAAGGAATTTTCCTTCATTGCTGGAAAGAAAGCAAAATGGAACAATTCCTTTAAAAGGTAGTTTGACAGCTTCTGTACAGTGGAGTATTACTCAGCAATATAAATTAATGGACTATCAGTCAGATCTTAAATGTATATTGGTAAGTGAAGGAAACCAGTCTCCAAGGGCTACATATTGTATTATCCCATTTATAGGACATTTTAGGAAAGAAAACACAATAGAGATAGAAACACGTCAGTGATTAGTAGGGGTTTGGGAAGGGTGAAGATCAAATAAGTAAAACAATCACAATTTTTAGGTCAGTGAAACTATTTTGTCTTATATTGTAGTGGCTGATACACGACAGTATGCATTTGTCAAAACCCATAGATCTTTACAGCACAAAGAGTTAATCTCAACATATACAAATTTATAAAATCAATTGTAACTTCTGGAAACCCCAGAATTATGACAAAGGAACCTAATGGTATTACAAGTGTCTGGCATAACCTGCATGAATGAATTGGGGGAAAAAGAGATGACCCAGATAAGTTTGGAAATTAGTGGAAACTGTAAGACTAAAAGCAAAAGAAACTACACATAAGCATTGTACTCAAGTTGAGTGAAGTTGTTTCTCACTAGAGAACAGGTTAACCATTCTAAAACTGTGCACATATGCTGGGATTGTACAAATAAATAAACTGTTGGTAGAGGATAAGAACCAGGTTTCTCACTGTTGGAGAGGGAAGTTACAGATAAGCAAGGGAAAAGGCTACAATGAGCCATGTGGTACAGGATGAGAATAGGAAATATCACCATTAACTTATGTTTAGCTTGAAATAGATTACAGATGAATATACATAGAATTAATTAGACATACGAGTATATACATAGGTTAGTATACACAGATACATTTCCCTGCTCTGTCCACTGAGATGACCTAGAAATACTGACACACCAGGGGCAGTGAGCATACCCTGGACCCAGATATAGGTTTACAATACCATTCTCCAATAACAGGAAGCAGGGTTCCTTTGAGAAACTGCTGATTCTAGGGCTGAGAAAGGAAATATACCAGATAACCCTAAAGTATCTTGTGATGTCAGAAAGTAAGGAAGTGCTCAAAAAGCAAAATAATAGGGTATGTCAAAGTGTCAAAGGAACCAACTGAAAGATCTCCCAATGGCCAAAGCTAAATCGGTTTGAGCAACAAATTAAATAATATAGCATTGGTCTATAACACAAAGAATAAAGTAAGTATCTATGAGTCCATAGAGATATACCTGCATGATTGAATAAATGAATAAATGGGAAGAATGGAAAAGTCTCTTGCATAGAAAAATTACAAATAATTGCTGTAGATACTCCCACCTCAAGGAGGTAAAGTATAACTCTCTATTCCTTAAGTGTGGGTTGTGCATAAGGACTTCCAAAAAATATGTTAGGAAAGGGGGATAAAGAACAATTTTACATTGCAGAAATCTGACAAACACCACCTCACTCGTATGATC
Organism: Homo sapiens; assembly: GCF_000001405.40. Classification (NCBI taxonomy): domain Eukaryota; kingdom Metazoa; phylum Chordata; class Mammalia; order Primates; family Hominidae; genus Homo; species Homo sapiens. The sequence goes on from NC_000020.11 coordinate 7,618,504, forward strand.
AAGCTTAATATCATTGTTATAAATCATGCTGGCACCCTTGATCTGATGTAATGACAGTGTCACTTTATCTCTGTGGCTCCCCTCACCCCCACCAAAATCTATAACCCCAGTCTAATAATGAGAAAATATCAGACAAATTCAAATCGAAGGACATTCTACAAAATGCCTGACCAGTACTCTTGAAACTGTAAAGATTGTCAAAAATAACGAAAGTCTGAGAAACCATCACAGTCTAGAGAAGCCTAGGGAGACATGGGGATTAAATGTACCTTGGTATTCTGAATAGGCTCCAGGAACAGTCAAGGGACATTAGGTAAAAACTAAGTATCCTAATGAAGTATGGACTTTAGATAACAAGTGTTATCTAAACACTTGTTATCTAAACATTGTGTTAATACGACTCCATTTGTAGTAACAGACTTGTAATAGTAACGTCAAAATAGGGGAAACTGGGTGCAGGGTACATGGGAGCTTGGTCATATTTTTGAAACTTTTCTGTAAATCTACAACTATTCTAAATTTTTTTTCTTTTATTATTATACTTTAAGTTTTAGGGTACATGTGCACAATGTGCAGGTTAGTTACATATGTATACATGTGCCATGCTGGTGCGCTGCACCCACTAACTCGTCATCTAGCATTAGGTATATCTCCCAATGCTATCCCTCCCCCCTCCCCCACCCCACAACAGTCCCCAGAGTGTGATGTTCCCCTTCCTGTGTCCATGTTTTCTCATTGTTCAATTCCCACCTATGAGTGAGAATATGCTGTGTTTGGTTTTTTGTTCTTGCGATAGTTTACTGAGAATGATGATTTCCAATTTCATCCATGTCCCTACAAAGGTTTTTATTTTTACATCTAACAAACTTTAAAAATTTTAGAAAAAAAAACTATTCTAAAATTTTTAAAGTTTGTTAGATGTAAAAATAAAAAAACAAAATAAAAATTATTTTTAAAAATTCATTATAATTCTTAAATCTTGCCATCAGACAGCTACTGTGGGTTTTCAGGTGTGGAGAAACGATTTGGGGTCAGCTCACTGATAATAATCCTACGTTTCTCATTGATATAAACTTCTCTACCAACATGTCTTTTGTGATTGTTCAAGTCATTTGCCAGTAAGAGATTAGGTTGGTGCAAAAATAATTGCGGTTTTTGCCATTCCTTTTAATGGCAAACGTTTGCACCAACCTAATATTTTGCTGTTGTTTGGTAATAAGTACAACCACAAATCTTCCCATAAGGAGTAACTTGTTATTTAATAACTTAATTTTGCATAACATCTTGAGTCAAGCTGACATTGCATCAACAAATCTGGGAGGTTGCAGACTCACAGTTGTGAATATGATTCCAGCCCAAGAGAAATTAGGCTTTGTAAAATATGATAATTTACTTATTTAATGAATACTTACTTTTACTTACTATATATCAGAAACTCTTGTGAAAATTTTACAAATACTATAAGTTCTTATAAAAACCTTCTAGTAGGTATTAGTATTATCTACATGTTAGTGTTAATGATATATTCATATTTTCTATAGCTGTGTATTATCTCTCTATAATAGATAAACAGATACGTTAGGAGTCCAGTTAACTTGTTCAAGCCCAGGTAGTTTGCTTCCAGAGTTCCTTCTCCTTATCAGGATGCTATACTTCTTAACTTGAGATGATTGCTTTGGAAGCTCTTAACTATTTTGCTCTGCTGTCTTTGAGCATTTTTTTTTTCCTGGTAGTTTAAAAGACTTCCCGTACCAGAGAATTTAAACCCTAGAGAGCTAAGTTTAAAAAGTACTGATTTCTATGGTAGAAACCACATTATCAGAACTCACAACCTCAAGGAAATGTAAATGAATCTGAATGTTATCAACAGACAGAACAGATACTCTGAAACAACCTAAAATTTAAGAATTAACATCATTAAGGAGCATTCACTCACCAAGTAAAAGTCACATGGGATTCTGAGAACCACAGGCCTTTAACTTTTTAGATAGCCTGTAAATAACTATATGCCTCCCAAAGAAATACTGAAAATATTATAAATGATGTAAGAAGATACAAGCATTAAAAATAGTATGACATGCGTGAACCCGGGAGGCAGAGCTTGCAGTGAGCCAAGATCATGCCACTGCACTCCAGCCTGGGTGACAGAGTGAGACTCTGTCTCAAAAAAAAAAAAAAAAAAAAAAAAATAGTATGACATGACTGTTTTACTGGCATTTAGCAACTGCATATGCTATTGTTTATCTACAACTTATGCTTCCAAATAGTTGTATATTGGAGAGAGTGGGCGAATAATAAATCAATAAAAGGGTCTGCCTTTATCAAAATATTGCAATTAATGAATTTTTAATATTTTAGATAACGTGTTTTTTCACTTCACTTTGCTTAGAACTTTCTTTTAAAACTAAATTGAAATAAAATTGTTTTATTTCATTTATCCACTGCAATTGGAAGGGAAATATGTGAAGTTTTAACGTAATTTGAGAATGATAACTGACTGGTTAGGGGTAAACCACTTATTTTAGACATTTACATTTTAGATTTTATTTTTAGCATAATTTTATTAATACGCACTTCAGATATACATTGAAAAGGCATAGAACAGATACACAAATTCTAAGCTTAACACCTGGTGATATTTTGTTAGACTTGCTTCAGATCTATTTTATTCTTCAAAGAAATCAAATAACCTACTAACTCCTTCTCACTATTTTATCCCTGGAACTTACTATTGTATCCGGAATTGGTGGATTTCTTGGTCTCACTAACTTCAAGAATGAAGCCGTGGACCCTCACGGTGAGTGTTACAGTTCTTACAGATGGTGTGTCCGAAGTTTGTTTCTTCTGCTGTTCGGACGTGTTCCGAGTTTCTTCCTTCTGGTGGGTTCATGGTCTTGCTGGCTTCAGGAGTGAAGCTGCAGACCTTCGTGGTGAGTGTTACAGCTCTTAACGCAGCACGTCTAGAGTTCATCGTTCCTCCCCTCCAGAGTTGTTCTTTCTTCCCAGTGGGTTCATGATCTGGCTGTCCTCAGGAGTGAAGCTGCAAACCTTCCCTGTGAGTGTTATAGCTCATAAAGGCAGTGCAGAACCAAAAAGTAAGGAGCAGCAAGATTTATTACAAAGAGCTAAAAAATAAAAAAAAAATTTAAAAAACAACAAAAAAAAACAAAGTTTCCACAGTGTGGAAGGGGACTCACTGCCGCCTGGGCAGCCTGCTTTTATTCCCTTATCTGGCCCCACCCACATCCTGCTGATTGGTCCATTTTACAGAGAGCTGATTGGTCCGTTTTACAGAGAGCTGATTGGTCTGTTTCAACAAGGTGCTGATTGGTGCGTTTACAATTTCTGAGCTAGACACAGAGTGCTGATTGGTGTATTTACAATCCTCTAGCTAGACATAAAAGTTCTCCAAGTCCCCACTAGATTCACTAGACACAGAGCACTGATTGGTGCATTTACAAACCTTGAGCTAGACACAGGGTGCTGATTGGTGCATTTCCAAACCTTGAGCTAGACACAGAGTGCTGATTGGTGCATTTACAATCCTTTAGCTAGATGTAAAATTTCTCCCAGTCTCCCCTAGATTAGCTAGACATGGAGCACTGATTGGTGCGTTTACAAACCTTGAGCTAGACACAGAGTGCTGATTGGTGCGTTTACAATCCCTGAGCTAGACACAGAGTGCTGATTGGTGCATTTACAATCCTCTAGCTAGACATAAAAGTTCTCCAAGTCCCCACCAGATTAGCAGATACAGAGTGCTGATTGGTGCATCCACAAACCCCAAGCTAGACACAGAGTGCTGATTGGTGCATATATAATCCTCCAGCTAGACATAAAAGTTCTCCGAGTCCCCAGTAGACTCAGGAAACCAGCTGGCTTCACCTAGTGGATCCCGTGCCAGGGCCGTGGGCAGAGTTGCCCGCCAGTCCCGTGCCATGCGCCTGCACTCCTCAGCCCTTGGGAAGTTGATGGGACTGGGCGCCGCGGAGTAGGGGGCAGCACCCCTAGAGGAGGCTCAGGCCACGTGGGAGCCCACTGTGGTGGGGGCTAGGGCATTGCGGGCTGCAGGTCCCAAGCCCTGCCCCAAGGGGAGGCGGATGAGGCCCGGTCAGAATTCAAGGGAGGCGTGGACGGGGCAGCTGTGCTGGGGGACCCAGTGCCCCATCCACAGCTTCTGGCCTGGTGGTAAGCCCCTCACTGCCCGGGGCTGGCAGCGCTGGCTGGCCGCTCCAAGTGCAGGGCCTGCCAAGCCCACACCCACCGGGAACTCGTGCTGGCCTGCGAGCGCTGTGTGCAGCTCGGGTTCCTGCCTGCGCCTCTCCCTCCACACCTCCCAGCAAGCAGAGGGAGCCAGCTCTGGCCTCAGCCAGCCCAGAGAGGGGCTTCCACAGTGCATTCGCGGGCTGTAGGGCTCCTCAAGCACCGCCAGAGTGGACACTGAGGCCGAGCAGGCGCTGAGAGCAAGCGAGGGCTGCTAGCACGTTGTCACCTCTCACTATTACCTTGAAGTCAGTATATAACATTCTATACATGTTTTCATGCTATTGTCACATGCATATACTCATGAGCAATGAAAAATATTGTTCTGTAAAATTTAAAATACTACATGCATGGTTTTGCACTTTATGTTTACTATCTTATATTAATTTAATTTACATTTTCAAATGTACTTACACTGATATATTTAATTTTTAAAATGTCTTCTAAGTATACTTTACTAAAAATTGCCCTCCAAAATGGCAGTACTAATGTACAGTCTCACCAGTAATGTACAAGTGTCTTATTGTGTGGCAAGAGATTATGACATTCATTAAGTCCTATTTTTTTTCTTCTGATGATAAAGCTGGACTCAGTTTCCTAGTCTTCCTGGCAGCTAGGTGTTACCAAAAGACGATACTGGTGACATGAGAGTAGAAGAGATGTGTGGTCCTTAAGTTACAGTGACCAATAAGTGAATCTTCCCAAAGGTTTATTTACCCATCTATCAACTGAATGGAGAGTTCTCGGAGGGCCATAAAGAAAGCTGAGCTTCAAGATGAGAGAAACCAGGTTTTCTGAATGACCTCATCAGAGGCTGTACAACATGTCCACTGGACTAGGACATAAAAAATGAATTTTTATTGTATGAAGCTGCTGCAATTGTGACTTTCAGTTTCAGCTAATATTTTTAGCTTAATTAATGTACATTACCCTTCATCCTCACCTCCTTTTGAAATTATCAGACTTCTGTCTTTTTAATCTATTTTAATTTGTGTAAGACAGATGGCTATATGGATCTCAGTATGATGTCAATTTCTATTTCTCTGTACTAGTGAAATTAAGTAGCATTTTCCATGTTTAACGGCATATTCTTTTCTCCTTCTCAGACTTTCCCATTTATCTCTTGCCCATTTTCTATCAGGTTATTTATTTTTTTCCCATTGTTTTGGAGGCATGCCTTAAGTATTTTGGCTACTAAGCGTTTACTGGCTACATTCATTGTTAATATCTTCTGCCAATCTGTGGTGTGGATTTTAACTTTGTTCATGGTGTTATTTTTTTCCACAGATTTTATTCATTTTAGGGTAGTCAATTTATCATTCACTTCCTTCATGGGTCGTGAATTTTGTCTTGTTGATGACATTAAACTTTGCTCTGTGTCCATCAAGGGATTTTCTTACAGAGTCTCCTAAAAGTTTTAAAGTTTTTTGTTGTTCACATTTAGAATCTGAAATGTATGTTTTTATATCATTTGGAGTAATATTATAATTTAGTAATTATTTTTAGTTGATTCTGTCCACAATGATTTGCAATACCACTTCTCGTACAGAGAAAATAATATACATGTGGGCCTGTCTCTAAGCTCTCCACTCTGTCATTAACGTAATGTGCATGACAGCACCACCTTTGTCTATTGACCATAACAGTATCTCACTGTCCTGATAACTATATCACTGGTGTGCCTATCTGGTGATATAGTTACTCCTTTTATTCTTTTTCAAATTTATAAAAGTCTTAAAACCTATTTTATTCTGTAAAATTTTAGGATCCGTTTGTAAAGGTCTGTGAGAAAATATTTCAATCATCTTGTGATTTTAATTGGAAATATGTTTTATCTATAGATTATTCTATTGAAATTACATCCAGTCTTTCCACCCACAAACATGGCATCTCCCTCAGTATAGTAAGGTTTTCTTTAGTGACTTACAATAAAGTTTAATAATTTTCTTTATACACAGGTTTTATGCTTTTTGATCCTTGATACCTTCTGGTTTTGGCTCCAGTGGTGAACAGAATTTTTATAAAATGCATAATACTTTCTAACTGGTTTGGACTGGTGCACAGAAACGCTATTGATTTTGTTTGTTGGTCTTAAAAAATCATAAGTGTGGTTTCTTCCTCTCTGCTGCCTATTTTCAAATATCCATGGAACATGTTTTTTCACTGTTTCTTGGTCTCTCTTAGTCTTGATGAAAAACTTCCTGCCAGTTTAATTGTTATTCCTTCCCAGAAAATTTGCCGATTCTTTATGAATTCTTGTGTTTTTCTTGGTCTTGTGTGTGCAGTTTTACCACTACGTGTCTAAACGTGTATTGGTTATATGACTAACTATTCACATGACTATCCCTCGCAATAAATTCTTTCTTTGTGTCATTTGTTAATTTTTTTATTATCAACTCTTTCACCTCATATTGGTTATTTAGTGTTTTGTGTAGAAATCTCGTGTACTCTGTGCTCTGAATAGGTTGTTACAAAGCACCCATCAGGTTATTTGTGTCTTTCACTGTCAGACCCTGAGTAGCTTTGGGATATTCTCCTATCACATATATGATATAAATTGGAATCCAGACACACAAAGGGACATAGAAAGCCCTGGGCCCTGCATTCCTCATGAGAGATTTTGTTCCATATCAAGATCCATGCCTCTAGTCCCAGCTACTCTGGAGGCTAAGGCAGGAGGATCTCTTGCTCTTAGGAGTTTGAGGCTACAGCGAGCAATGATTGTACCACTGCACTCCAGCCTGGGCAACAGGGCAAGACCCTAAGTTTATAATGACAAAAATATGCTTTTATTTTTCTCTTCTATGGACTAATGGCTAATGTTAGTATGTTAATTTACTCCTTTTTTTTTTTTTTTAAACTGAAGAGAAAGCTCGTCTGGGGTCCTAGCTTAATGCCAGGCTGTTAGCATCCTGTGAACTCCAGTGCTATGCCTTTTAACAAGTGCAGAACAAAAAATAACAAATTATATGTCCTTAGGGGATTTGAGGAGTCTGGCTTCTGGTTAAAAGAACTGTGTGTGATTTTTCAGGTCCAAACATAGGTAATGACACAGGTTTTACCTGGCTGCCCCAGAGGAAGGCTGCCCTCCCCACAGCAGACCCAGAGCAGGGCCCATGTGTGGGGCTGTGAGGGAGCTTCAGTCAAGGACTCAGAGGCTTCATTCCTAGGCTCCTTATCAGAGGCCTTGAGCTGAGGTCTTCTGCAGGCACCAAGGCCTCCTTATGGGAAGAGGAGGGGGCAAGCCTGGAGACACATCCCCCCTCTGCCTCAGTGCCCAGGACTTTCCAACCCCTAGCCGTTCCTCCTCACCCTCTCTGCAACCTCAGGGTCCCTAATACTGCAGTGAGACGATCCCCAGGAGCCCCAGGAGACCCACCTGACCCTTCACCGGTGCACTGCCCCATGGAGCAAAAGGGAACAGGGGAGTCAGTGCTTTCTCTTTTTTTGGCTTCTTGTTTATACCATAGCAGAAAGTGATTAAAGGCTTAATTCATTTTGGCTTGTTGATTTGGCTACCCCGTTACTCACAACTGTCCCAGGTTACCCACTCATCAGCCTGTGCTTTGCCATCTTAGCTTTAATTCCCTCTTTGTTTCTAGATCCTTATTTATTTTCTGCCATTCAAGCTCACATATTATAGGAGCATATTTTATCTAGAATATCTACAAGTTTGTAACCACAGAGATGCTCAAGAGAGCCCTGCCCCTACATTAGAGAAATAAGAACCCTCATTTTATTTCTTCCCAAAAAGTAAAGGAAGAAGAACCCTTCTGGTAAAAGTAAAGGGAACAATACAATGTAGCAATTCCTTAAGTCTACACAGGGCAGAAGAGGGAAAGGAAATTTAAACTGGATGGCAAGCACCTTGTATTAGGTTAAAATGAATAATTTTCAGGCTTTGAGACTCATTATCAAAATAAGTTGCTGAATTTGTTATAAATGTTCTTATCTCAGAATTTATAAAAAAGAGAAGACACCCAATTCTTAGAAATGTCTTGAGGCCTACCTGTAAGGAACTGCTAAGCTTCCTTCCTACCATGCGTATCCATGATGCCTACTTTTGAAAGGCTTCTAATTGTATAAATTATTTTGTAGCTCACAAATTTTAAAATATATATTTCCAGTGACAATATGCTATCAAAGGCATTTAACTTCTCATTGGAGAAAATTAAATACATCTATTTAAAAATTAAGAGCATTCCGGATTCTGTGAGCTGGACAAGAAGTAACTTCACTTATTCTTTTGTTTGTTAAATACAACTTCTTTTCCTTTTTTCATCTCTCTCCCTCTACATGAAGACTTATCCCCCGCCTACTGTTATTCCTTGATAGCTCCCAGAGTATTTGTTTTGGTCAAGTTCCCTAGAAGCAGAGGCTGTCATATTTGTGTGTGTGTGTGTGTGTGTGCAAGCACATGCATGAGCCTATGAAAATAATTTACTAAAGATGTTCTATCAGGAGAAACCTATAAGGGAAAGAGAGGAATAAAGGAAAGAAGCAACAGCTATCCAGATAGGTGTTCCAGATGAAGTCTAGCCCCAGCCTGATTCCTTGGAGGACTTTGAAACGTGAATAGCCTGCAGGGTTTGTTACAAGTGGAGAGTTTTTGGTGCCCTCTCATCATTCACCCTTTGGCTATCAGGCATTGTCTCCCATGAGAGTATAACTCCTCAGATATTGCTGGGTAGCATGGCTCCCACTGACCAAGGTGAAGTTTTGAGAAGAGAAGGCAGCTGTGAGCCATGAACAGTGAACTCGCAGAAGAGCTGGGAGATGGGTGCACTGGAAGGTAAATGGAATCTTGACAAGACACTAACAGAGTCTACTACATTACGATTCATCTTTTTGTCACCTTGAGGCAGTAAGAATTAAGATATAATAAAGCCAAGGGTTTGATTCCTTTCTTTGGGCTTTGCTCCAAGTTGAGAACTCAGAATTCTCAAATCTTAGATAACATTTTTCAAAATGTATTTTAAAGGCGTATGTTTACTTAATTACTCCTGTATTTCTGCTGCTTTGGTTTTCCTGCATTTGATATTTACTAGAAGTAACTGGGACTATGGCTAAGAAGGTAGAACGGGTTTATGTGGCAATGACAGAAGCAGCTATGGCCTGGCCTCCTGCTAGGTCAAGGTAGGTCACATTGCAAAACCCAGTCTCAGCTCAGGAGGCTCCCAAGACTGAGCTCAGAATTACCATAGAGAAGAAGTCTGAGTCCTGCTTTTTGGGCTGTTTCACATATGACAAAGTCTTTACTTTGGTAATGAGGGAAGACACTGGTAAGCAGAGGTCTGCAGCCAGACAAAGTTGGGTAGAAATTCATTTCCAGTAGACCTCAGTTGTGTGACTTCAGGTATTAAGACATTGCCAGCCAAGTAAGCTGCAATAAAAAGTTCTGATTGATAGTCTATGTTCTCCAGATTTTTTGAATCTGGACTTCAAAAGATGTGTGCATCAGATAAGTGTTTGGTGAACTTCTCTATCATTAAGAGATCACTATATTATAGCATTCCTATGTTTCCTTTCAGCAAGAAAAAACAACTAGAAGTATCCCCCAGCTGCCTGTGACTACTAAGTAAACAGCTTTTAGTCACAAAAAAATGCTATGAGAATGATAACATGCCAAGCCTGTAACTTCAAACTCAGAAAAACAAAAACTATAAAGAGCCACATGATTATTCATTTCCTTACTCAACCTATATTATTCATAGCCTCCTGAAATTCCTAAAACATCATGGTAGGTTTTCCTTGCACGAGCAATGATTTCTAATAGTTTCCACATTCCAAAGACAATGAGGGCAAGAAGCCAATATTCCATGCACAAGCTCTGTGACATGAAATAATGTACGGAAATTACTACCATTGCTGATTAACACTCATTAAGCGCCAAAAGCATTTGACTTTAATTTGCAGTTAATTTTTTTTTCTGGTTTACATTTTATTCACTCGACATTGTGAAACACATTTCAAACAAGTCCACTTTATATTCATAATTTGCATGTTACTGAAAAATCTCCAGTGTAGTGGCTACATTGCTATGTGTATATATAGTACATTATGCACCATCTAAAAGAAACGGTAAATAATAATATAGGTGCAAATTATGGATTTTTGTTTAATCTGTCCTGTATTAACTCATTCGAATTGTCATTTCATATTAAGATTCCTAAATACTAGTGTAACATACTTATGGCTGAATGAACCTAGTAAAAGTATTTTCAGGGGAACTACCACAGGTCAAATTTGTGGATTTCTATTTCAAGAAAACTTTACTAAGAGTAGGAGAGATAAATGAGGCACAGTCTCTTGAGGACTTGAAGCTGTAGCACAGCATTTGTAAGTGCAGAATATAGATTCGAACTTCCTAGATTAAAATTCTCTCCCGTAAGCCATATTACCTTAGGAAAGTATTTAGTGTCTTTCTGTCTAGGTTTCCTGATTTGAAAATGGGGTTAATCGTAGCACCTAACATGGGGGTTAATAAATGTGAAACATTCAGAATAGCACTTAAAAAAGTAAACAGTGAATGTTCTTTATTATTACTTTGGAAAAAATATATTGCAGCCTCCCACTAGACCATCTAAACTGGTATTGTGACTTTTATAATAAGATATCACCAAAACAACAGTGAGATGAAGAGACAATAGTAAAACTTTGCCATTTCCTCATTCTTATAGGAAATGGCAAAGGTACACTGTCCTTCTTTTGATAATTCTTATAGTCCTCTTTCATGATATCTAAGATCAACAAAGAAATGAGGTAACTACTGAGGAAAACTTAATCATGAATCTGTAAGAAATATCATCTTTTTTGCTTCCATTAAGTCATTTCACTATTATGACTCTTCCTCCGACAGCATGCCAGAAGTGCTCAATACATGTGTAAGAAAATTTTCCCCAAATTTGAAAATAAGCAATAGAAGTAATAGGGTGTACTTTTCACACAATGCTGAGTGTTGACTAGCAAACTCTGTGGGAACACTCTGACTATAGCTATCTATGGACCAAGCTATTAGGTTGGTGGAAAAGTAATGGCAGTTTTTGCCAGCAAAGTAATCCCCCAAACTGCAATTACTTTTGCACCAACCTAATATTTCACAATTATATAGGAGTGGAAGACAGCTTGCAGAAAAATAATAAGAAAGCAAATTATTCTTGAACATATGAAGTTTCTCCCCATTGGGATATAATTGATTTCTGATTTTTAGTCCTGTAACAAAGATTACACCAAAAATTACATGTTATTGACCTATAAGGGAGTAACCAATTTTATATTCATTAGAAAACTTAGTCATTCATAACTGCCTGTATGACTCGTGTGTGTGTGTGTGTGTTCTTCAAATTCTTCTTTGAATCCATCTAGTATCTTACTGGTTCCTTCATTATAATGAATTGTATAAAATATTTGATGCAAGTTAAATATATATTTGTATGAGAATTATGCATTTCACTATTTTAAGTTAACTTTTTTCTTGGAGATAATTTTAGATTCACATGTAGTTGTAAGAAATAATACAGAGAATTAGCCAGCTGTGGTGGTGGGTGCCTGTAATCCCAGTTACTGGGGAGACTGAGGCAGGAGAATTGCTTTAACCCGAGAGGCGGAGGTTGCAGTGAGCTGAGATCGCGCCATTGCACTCCAGCCTGGGCGACAACAGCGAAACTCCGTCTCTGGAACAAAAAAAAAAAAAAAAAAAAAAAAAAAAAGGAAGAAAGAAAGGAAATAATCCAGAGATCTGGCCGGGCACGGTGGCTCACCCTCTAATCCCAGCACTTTGGGAGACCGAGGCAGGTGGATCGGTTGAGACCAGGAGTTTGAGACCAGCCTGGTCATCATGACGAAACCTCGTCTCTACTAAAAATACAAAAATTAGCTGGGCGTGGTGATGCATGCCTGTAATCCCAGCTACTCAGGAGGCTGAGGCATGAAGGTCGCTTGAACCTGGTGGGGCAGAGGCTGCAGTGAGCCAAGATCACGCCACTGCACTCTAGCCTGGGTGGCAGAACAAGATGCAAAAAAAAAAAAAAAAAAAAGAGAGAGAGAGAGGAAGGAAGAAAGAAAGGAAGGAAGAAAAAGAAAGAAAGAAAGAAAGAAAAAGAAAGAAAGAAAGAAAGATCTCCTATACACTACTCACTTTTCCTCATCTTGTAAAACTATATACTATCGCAACCAAGATATTGACATTGATGCAATACAGACAGAAAAAAAATCCCATTACCAGAAGAATTTCTCTTATTAACCATTGAGAATCAAATCCACCTCCCTCTCGTCAAACCCTCCTGTCTCTAAAGCCTGGCTCTCACTAATGTGTTCTTCACTTCCATAATTTTGTAATTTCAAGAATGTTGTATCAATGGAATAATACAGTATGTAACATTTTGAGATTAGCTTTTTCATTCAATATAATTCACTGGTCATCCATCCAAACCATTGTGTATATCAGTAGTTTGATATTTTTATTCTTGGGCAGTATTCCCTGCTATGTATGCTGCATAGATTTTCCCAGCCATTCATTAGTTGAAAAATATGTGTGCTGTTTTCATTTTGGGCTGTTATAAATAAAACTACTATGAATATTTATATACGGGTCTTTGTGTCAACATGAGTTTTAATTTCTCTGAGATAAGTGACCAAGAATGCAATTGCTGGATTGTATGGTAAGTGCATGTTTAGTTTTGTAAGCAACCGCCATGACCTTTGCAAGAGTAGCCATACCATTTTATGTTCCTGATGGCAATAAGAGTGATTCAGTTTCCCTACATGCTTACCATCTGTTGGCATTATCACTGTTTTAAACATTTTATTCATTAGAATAGGTGTGTAGTGATATCTTCACTGTGGTTCCAGTATGCATTTCTCTAATGGCTAATGATGTTCCACATCTTTTCATGTGCTTATTTGACATCTGTATATTCTTTTTGGTGAAATGTCAGTTCAAGATATTCTGTTTTTGAGGCTGATTTTGAGCATTCATTATATATTCCAGATAGTAGCCCTTTGTTGAATACGTAATTTGCAAATATGTTCTCTTCATCTCTAGTTTTTCAAAGACAGTCTTTCACAGAAGAAAAATCTTGAATTTGATGAGATCCAATTTATTAATTTTTCCTTTTATAAGTCATTATTTTTATGTCAATTCTAAGAACTCTATCCCAGTCCTAAATCTGAAGATTTTCTCCTGGGTTTTTTCCCAGAAGATTTATAGTTTTTGGTTTTAAATTTAAGTGTTTAACACACTTTTAGTTTATTTTTGATTGTTGTATAAAGTGTGAGGTTTAAATTGAGATTTTTTTTTAAATGCTTATGCGTGTTCAATTGCTACAGTACATTTTATTGAAAAAAACTCTTTTCTCCAAAGAATTTCTTTTCCTCCTCTGTCAAAAATCAGTCTGTCATATTTATGTGGTTATATTTCTGGAATCTCCTTTTACTTGTCTATGTGTGTATCTCTTTACCAATAGCATATTGTATTGATTACTATACCTATATAGTGATTTTTATTTATTTATTTATTTATTCATTTATTTATTTTTTGAGATGGTCTATCTCTGTCATCCAGGCTGGAGTGCAGTGGCGCTATCTCAGCTCACTGCAGCTTTGACCTCCTGGGCTCAAGTGATCCTCCCTCCTCAGCTTCTCAAGTAGCTAGGACTACAGGCATGTGCCACCACAACCAGCTAATTTTTGTGTTTTTTTAGAGACAGGGTATCGCCGTGTTGCCCAGGCTTGTCTCAAACCCCTGGACTCAAGTGGTCTTCCTGCCTTGGCCTCCCAAAATGCTGAGATTACAGGCTTGAGCCACCACACTCGACCTACGTAGTGGAATTTAACATTTAATAGAGTGGTGTCTCCCAGAATATGTTTTTATTTTCAAGAAAGTTTAGCTATGATTTGACCAGCATCTTTCTATATAAGTTTTAAAGTAAGTTTTACATGCCAGCAACAACAAAAGACCCTGGTAGGATTTTTTGGGGAATTGTATTAAGCCTATAAATAATTTGGAGATAATTGACATCTTTACTTTGTTGAGTCCTCAAATATGTGAACATGGTATGTCTCTCATTTATGAGGTCATATTTTATTTCTGTCATCAATATTTTATAATTTTCAGTATATAGAGTCTACAAATGATTTGTTATGTTTATGTAATTGTACATAGTATTGTGGTTTTTGTTTTGGTTTCCACATGTTCATGTTCTTTATTAACATATAGAAATGTTATTAATGTTTTTGTTTATTGATCTTGAATCTTGTAACCTTGTTGAATTCATTTATAAAGTTCTGGAATTTTTTGGTATATATCTCTTGGGATTTTCTCAGTTACGTGATTTGCAAATAGGGGAAATTTTACTTCTTCCTGTCCAATCCAATCTAAATGCCTTCCTTTGTTACTTATTTCTTTTCTTCATTTTATTTTGCTGGGGCTATAACTTCCAGTACAGTGTTACATAAGAGTAGTAACCTGTTCCAGTCTTATGGGGAAAGCATTCAGTCTGTCAGCAGTAATATCCTGTTAACTGTCATTTGTTTCATAGATGTTCTTTATCAAGTTGAAGAAGATCATTTTCCCTAATATACTGAGAGTTTTTGTATTTAACATAAATGAGATTTCAAGTGTACTCAAATGTTTCTTCTGCATCAGTTGTTATAATCATGTGACTTTAACACATTTAGTGTGGTTATATGGTGGATACAATGATTGAATTTCAAATAATAAATCACACTTGGTCATGATTTATAAGTCTTTTATGTACTGTTAGATTAGATTTTCTTTACATTTTTTTTTTTTTTTTTGACACAGGTTATGTTGTCCAGGCTGGAAGGCAGTGACTATTCACAGGTGTGATCCCACTATGGACCAGCATGAGAGTTTTGACCTGCTTCATTTCTGACCCGGGATGGTTCACCTCTCTTCGAGCAACCTGGTGGTCTCCTGCTCATGGGAGGTCACCATACTGATGAAAAACAGTGTGGACATCTGACTGGCATGGCACACTACATCTTAGAAATCCTTGGCTCAAGCAATTCCCCTGCCTCAGCCTCCCAAGAAGTTGAGAATGTAGGCATGCAACCTTGCCCTGTAGAACTGCCCTGTAGAATCAAATATTAATTCGACTGAGAATTTTTGTTTAAATTCATTGAGAGATATTTGTCTGTAGTTTTCTTTTTTTCATTTGATCATTTTTTTCTTGTTTTCATGTTCAAGTAATATTGGCTTCATAAAATCAGGTGGAGTATATTCAGTTTTCTGGAAGAGATTGTATACACTTGGTAGATGAATTCTTCTTTAAGTGTTTGGTCTAGTTCTCCAGTGAAATGATCTAGGCCAAGAAATTTTATTCAGAACCTTTTAAACTACAAATTTATTTCTTGAATCATTATGGAACCATTCCCATTATCCATTTCTTCTTAATTAGGCTTTAGTAGTTTGTGGTTTTTGAGAAGTTTGTCTGTTTATTCCACGCTGTTGACTTTGAGTGTGAAGGCCGTAATATCCTGCTGCTAGCTGCAGGATCTGTAGTGGCATCCTCCGTTTTATTTTTAATTTTGGTGGTTTATGTGTTCCCTCTTTTTACTTTTGTCACTGTTGCTGAAGTTTACCAATTTTATAGTTTTTTAAAAAACAAACAGCCTTTTGTTTTATTGATTTTTTTCCTTCTTTTTTTTTTTGGTTTTGTTTTCCATTTCTCTGTGTTCTGCTCTTATCTGCGTTATTCCCTTCCTTATGCCTACTTGGGTTTATTTTGCTCTTCTTTTTCTAGTTTCTGAGATAGGATTCAACTACTGACTTGAAATCTTTCTTTGTTCTAAAATCTACCTTATCTGATATTAATATAGCCACTTTCTCTTTTAAAAATAGTTATCATCATGATATAACTTTCCCATGCTTTTATCTTAAGTCCACTTATGTTGTTGAAGTTTAAGAGAGTTTCTTATAAACATCATATAGCTGGTTCATGTTTTTTATCTAATCAGCCAATCTCTACCTCATAATTATATTAAGACCACTTATACTTAATGCTAAGCTTAAGTCTATTATTTTGCTTTATAATTTGTTTTCTCTCTATTTCTTCTGTTTGTTGGTTTTTTGTTTTTTGGTTTTATTTGACAAGGTCTCACTCTGTTGTCCAGGCTGGAGTGCAGTGGTTCTCCACTCACTGCAACCTCCACCTTCCAGGTTCAAGCGATTCTCCCATCTCAGCCTCCCCAAGAAGCTGGGATTGCAGGTCATGCCACAAAGCCTGGCTAATTTTTGTATTTTTTGGTAGACATGGGGGTTTCACCATGTTGGCCAGGCTGGTCTCGAACTCCTGATCTCAAGTAATCTGCCCACCTCAGCCTCCCAAATTGCTGCAATTACAGACACGATCCACTGCATCCAGGCTTTTGTTTTGAGACACAGCTTCACTCTGTCACCCTGGCTGGAGTGCAGTGGCGTGATCTCGGCTCCCTGCCACTTCTGCCTCCCAGGCTGAAGCGATGCTCCCACCTCAGCCTCCTAAGTAGTTGGGACTACACTTGCATGCCAACATACCTGGCTAATTTTTGTATTTTTTTTGTAGAAAGAGGGTTTCCCCATGTTGTCCAGGTTGGTCTTGAACTCCTGGGCTCAAGCAATCCACCTGCCTCAGTATCCCAAAGTGCTGGGATTACATGGTTGTTGTTTCTGTTTCTCTTTTCTTGCCTTTCTTTGATTTACTTGAACTGTTTTTAGGATTTTATCACAAATTATATATAGTGGTTTTGGGTTTTGTGTGTTTTTTCAGGGATTTCTCTCAGCGTTACAATATGTGTATATAACTTATCAAATGCTACTGATATCAAAACTTTACCACTTTCTGTGAAGCTTTGAAACTAACTTCTATTTAGATCCCATTCTCCTCCTCATTTTTAAATATAACTGTCTTGCATACTAGATGATATATAATTTTGTTTCAATTATCACATACACATATGCAAATTTATTAACATATCTTAGGTCCTCATTTGTAGAATGGAGATACTTGTACCTATAGTACAGGGATGCTTTTATCCCTAAATGAGATAATGCATGCACAGGGCCTGGCATAGTTTAAGAACTCATGAAATGATGTTATTTTATTATTGTCAAGAACCTATGCCACATGAACAGGTGATTAGGAAATACATTACATGTTGGCTCACACCTAAGGAATAAACCAAGTCATGACATTGACAAGATAATTTGCCTGTTTCCAAAATTGTAGTGCACTTTCAGAAACTAGATTGCCTTACAAATTTGAAAGCTGAACTTTCATCCAAGAACGTGGTTTGAAATACTTGTATCAGTGAAAAATGGCAGAAAGAGGAAAGGTCAAGTAGTAAAGGTGATAGACAAAAAGTAGATAGATCGTAACTCCATTTCTGGTTTATAGGACAAGTCAAATAAATTATTTTCATGCAACATTGGTCATAATAGCAATTGTCACTCACCATTTATGAAAAATGTCTTATATAAGTCCAAAATGTTATTTCTATTTTTAAATAGGCCAATAAAACATTTGAGTATTATAATTAAAGTTTTTACTTTAATTATAGAACTAAATTGAAACTAATGATCTCACATTATGACCTCAATGAGACCATTAACTCTATCAGACAAACACACCATAAACTAGCTGAAGGGCTTATAAGTGTGGACTATTGTTTTAGATTGGGTTCCACAAAAATAGAGCCTGAGACAGACATTCAAGTGCTCTCAGGAAAAGGGAAATGAAGAAAGTGGAGGGGGCTGAAGAAGCTGCTAAGCCAGTATGTGGTCTCAGCTAAAACTGAGCTTCAACCTAATCTGAAAGGAAGCTCTGAGGTATTACTCCATAGACTTGATGCCTCCTTTAAGAATTGGAGCAGGCCTCTGGTACTTCTGGTCGGTGGTCATTAGCTATGGGATACTCCCGTCCCTGTGCAAAAAATGTCTCACAGTTAGATGAAGGATAATTATCTGGATAAGGCACAGCCCTAAATTGACAGTTACCAATTTAGCTACTCATTACAGCTAGGGGTTGGGTATACTTGCCGCTAAAGAGGACTAGGATCAGTAAGGGAAATGGGTATTCTTATTTGGAACCACAAAAGTCTCTGTCTCTTTGAAGAGTGTATTGGCTTTATAGGTAGGAAGTATGCATGTTTATATGTATAAAAAGGCAATGTAATACATTGCCTAAATTCTGCCAAAGAGAATCTGTGCTTGTAGTCCTTAAACTATGGGTCAGGGTAGGGATAAACATCTGAAAAGTGATGATAAATACTAGAGAACTGCTTTCAAGAAAATGCACAAGCGTGTATACACAGAATATTTGCTTAGAATTTCAGGGGTTCTTAGAATGAGTTGATGAAACTCACTCACAGATCCATTTGAATTAAAAAATTCTGCTCCGGACCATCTGGCCTTGATTTGGCCTTTACACTAGCATTGGAAAGGTGATTAGAGTCTAGAAGAACAAAGAAAACAGTGAAGAAGCAAGATATGGTTTCATATTACCAGGACAATGGAGAGACAACTGTTGAAAGAAGTTAGTCATAACTCACAAGGAGAAATCCACCAAACTAGATATCTCCAGGGACACATGGGGTGGGTAAAAGGATTTGAGGAGCAATGAAAAAAGGATTTCTAGATGTTATCTGCTGCAGAGTGTTTTTCTATAGCTGTCCACATCCTGCCCACACACAATGGGCATAATATCCCCACCCTTCTAGCAAAAGAGATAATATCAGTTCTCAACAGCTCTGCAGGCACCCACTGCAAGCAAGCATAATATATCATTGTTTTCATATTTACTATATTAGGGGGTAGCTTTCTCATCATACCCTGGCTCCTCAATATGTAACAACAATGGAGTCCAACAGTGTTCTACAACCCACCTTTCTTTCTTCACTGATCTGGCACAAAAATTCTTGCCATAATTCTATGAATGCACATTACCCAGAGGACGCTCTAAAACCTAATTTTAGGGGAAAAATATTCAGGAGTGCAATACGAGCAGTAGGCATTGAGTGGGATGTAAAATGGAATGCTGTTTTGAGAAGTGTAGTGATGACTTTCTATAGGTGCCCCAAATAAATACATTGCAGGTTTTGTTTATTTTTATTGACATATGTAAACTAAAAGTAAAATTCTAAGGTCCCCCAACCATCTGAGCAGATGCCTCCTCTCACCCAGGGCACTCCAAATTTAACCAAAAATACTGGTTCAGTCTGTGACAGGAAGGGAGGGTCAGACCTACCTCATTATACCCTACTCACTTTTGGAATTCGGGAAAAGCCAACCAGCATTTAACATCTATACAGACCTTAGGTCTGATAAGGAACATTTACAATCATTCTCTTTGAAGTCTGTTACCTGGAAACTTCATCTGCATGATAAAACTTTGGGCTCCACAACCCCTTATTATAACCCAGACATTCCTTTCCATTGATAATAACTCTTTCAACCAATTGCCAATCAGAAAATTTTTAAATCTACCTATAACCTGGGAGCCCACTGCCCCCACCCCCAACCACCACCACTTTGAGTTGTCCTGCCTTTCTTGACCAAACCACTGTATATCTTACATGTATTTCATTGAAGTCTCATGTCTCCATAAAATGTATAAAACTAGGCTGTTCCCCTACCACCTTGTACACATGTTCCCAGGATCTCCTGAGGGCTTTGTCATACGCCATTGGTCACTCATATTAATACATCTTTAAATATTTTATAGATTTTGACTCTTTATTGACATATATGGCATTCATACTTAAAGGTGTATATATGTCATAAACTTGATTAATTTTCTCTGAGAATACCTGAGAAACCAAACTTTACCCACCTCTTAGAAGCTACTCTGAAGCCCCATTTTATGGTCACAGTTTTATCTAACACCTTTTTGAAGGCACTGCTGAACTGGAATTAATTCAGAAGCCATTCACATTTGTAGCTAATTTATTCTGACTATATTCATTCTAATGCTATCTTATTATCTCTGAATGCTTTTCCTGGTAGTTATCCTTCAATTTAAGGGATGTGCCAGTCTTGCAATGATACCTCGTGATTCTCACCTTCTTTTCCAAATAATTCCTTTTGTTATTGTAGCTTCTCAGCATCTAGAACTCTCGCCATTAAAACCCCCTTCGTGAGAAACAGCAAAGACACCTTTTCATCCTGACCTATATTTTAAGGATCAATTAAGAGGTCCTTGTCTGGGTAGGAAGCAATGTATCTACAAACAGGATGGGAAGTACTGATCACACACTGATACCCACACTCTTGGACAGGCAAAGTGAAAATCTGGAAAATATTACAGTGACTTGGGCAAGAAAACAAGCTGAAATGTTCATTGAATCTTCTTCATTGATTTAGAACCTATGAGTAGATGTTCTTTCATTGCTGTGAAATGTAATGACAGGCAGGGCTTCAGATGACCATCCCCAAATCCAGATGCTTATCTAAAGTAAACCTGCCTGTCTGCAATCCTTTTGACTTTCAAAAATAGAGCCTGAATTCATGGGGAGCCTTGCGTCCTAGGCAATGTGGAGCAGTTCCTGTGTTTAGTAAGGAATATTTCTTAAGGCTTTATTTCTTCCCCCGCTTTCCTCCAGGTTAAACCCAGA
Source organism: Homo sapiens (assembly GCF_000001405.40). NCBI lineage: Eukaryota > Metazoa > Chordata > Mammalia > Primates > Hominidae > Homo > Homo sapiens. The sequence continues at coordinate 7,639,378 of NC_000020.11, forward strand.
CCCTGAAGACAAATCTAGGTCAAAGTAAAACAAAAATAAAAATTACAGGAGCAAGAGTGGGGAGAGGTGTTGCAAAAGGGGAGAAGTAGAAAATCTAGGGTTTCATTTGTGACCGCCCTGTTTTTGAATTGAACAGCTTTCCCATTGCACGCCTACACCAATATCCACTAAACTCTTCTGCTTCATTTTTTTATTTAGTTAATTTCTTTTTATTTTTTGAGATTCTCCTGATATGTGCTGGATAGAAGGTATTCTTATTCAGCAAGACTTGTCCAGAGCAAATCTGTGACAAGATAGGCATTTAAGCGCAGATGTTCTCACTTTCTCTCTCTGTTAGAGGCAACTGCTATACTGCCAACACCACCCAACTCCAAAATATTGCTTTTAATTTATCCTTTTATTTTCTTCATTTTTTCCTTTATTCATTCTTTAAAGATTAATTGAACACCTACTTTGCATCATAACTTGAGTGTCTTAATGCTCTTTTAGGTAATCTCTTAAGAAATTTAGGAAATATTTGATTAATCCACCTTCCCAAGGCAAAAGATCTTAGTGTTATTTTAATTTTCATATAACGTGAATCCTTAAGGTTACAAAATGCTTTGATGTCAGAATATCAAAGCCCAGCACTGTTAGAAATGGAAGCCAAGTTTAGGGCCCTCACTTCTCAGAATCCCTTAAACTTATGACAATAAGAGAGAGTGGATTTCCTACTTGAACTTTTTGTAAAATTTGTCCTGCTCAAGAGATAATCTGAACATACACAAATTGAGACTGGAAACTTGATTTCAAGTCCCTTGCCTCTATTTTCCTTTCTTCTAATTGATTTTTTACACAAAAATCAAAATGCTATCTACCCACTAATATGATTTTGTAATGAAAATCCAATCATGACAGTCACTACTTAAAACCTTTTGAGAAAAAGCTCAATTCTTCTGATGACCTTTAGCAGGATTTGGCTACTGCCTACCGCCCCGATTCTTCTAATTTTCAGTCTCCCTGTTCTGTAATTCTGAGCTGAGGTTTGGCTGATATGGAAGGAAGAGAGTTTCATACAGTCCTGAAAAGTACAGAAGAACAGGAGACTGCTGTGAGAAGTCACCAGATTTTAAAAGGCTTCAGAACTATTATAAATATAAGGGAGGTTCAAGGTCTTTTTACCAGTTTCTTCTTCAAAACCAAATTTGAGGAAATAGAAGTACTTACGCCTAAGGTATACAATTTGAGGAGGCCCTATAATAATTTACTCGTCTTCCCGTAGTATTAGTGAAATTGCTGTTTAGTTATTTATTGATGAAATAAATATATTCATAAAAACTTCAAGAAATAACAATAGGATATAATAATACTAATTTTCACCAGTCCTAATAAACTTTTTTCACATTGTATTATTTCTGAAATAAAAGAAAATAATGATAATAATGAAGATGTAGAAATTCACGGTGCATTATAATTTAAATATTTATTCTTAGGACTACACTGAATACTAATATGTCTTATAGTAGTTGGTAATTAAATTTAATAAAATATGATAGCCAATTCTTCCTTTCAAACCTCAGCTTTAGCATATACTCCAATGATAAGTATTTCTTGTGTATACTTCTCCATTTTTCATGCATATGCAATTATACAAGCAAAATGAGAACATATATGATTCACAATTCAAAACTTAGCATTACATGTATTATTATGCATGCAGGAAAATTCTGAATAATGTTTCTAGTAAATATCTGTGCCTTTAATGTGCCATCTTACTTAGAATTTTATCATTCTTTTAAAGTGCTACTGGATTTTACTTGCTAATAGTATATTAGTGTATCAACATTGTCAACATTGATATTTATAAATTCATTGTGCACAGTTTTTGTAGTTTCTTTTTTTTTTTTTTTTTTTTTTTTGAGACGGAGTCTTGCTCTGTCGCCCAGGCCGGACTGCGGACTGCAGTGGCGCAATCTCGGCTCACTGCAAGCTCCGCTTCCCGGGTTCACGCCATTCTCCTGCCTCAGCCTCCCGAGTAGCTGGGACTACAGGCGCCCGCCACCGCGCCCGGCTAATTTTTTGTATTTTTAGTAGAGACGGGGTTTCACCTTGTTAGCCAGGATGGTCTCGATCTCCTGACCTCATGATCCACCCGCCTCGGCCTCCCAAAGTGCTGGGATTACAGGCGTGAGCCACCACGCCTGGCCAGTTTTTGTAGTTTCTTTAATGTGACACTAGCTTTCTCTATGTTACATTTGGTGTCATAACAGTAATTTGAAAGTTTTTCTCTCTAAGGTCTAAAACTGTTTATCTTTGAAATCATATTTCTGAAAGGTTTAAGAGAATTTATGTGTTTATAAGTAAAATCATATGAGCATAGTACTTTTGAGGAGAAGAAAGGAACAGTAGGTAGTAAGTTTTTTGTCAAGTATGTCAATTTGTTCCAAAGAAATGGGCCCTCTTTTCTAAAGTTATCATTATTTTTTCTAGAAAATCACACATTTCACCCATGTTTTAAATGTATTCACATAAAATTGAGAAAAGTATTCTTTAGGGTGCTTGTGATTTTTTTCTATATCCATGGTTATTTCTGTTTTTTCCTAATTTTACATATTTATACTTCTTTTTTTCTAATACATTTGGTTAATAGTTTACTTAACTAGATTTTTCAAAGAATCCGATCTTAGATTTCTTCATATTGGTAAATTTGTGTTTTGTTTTGTTTTGTTTTGTTTG